>NC_000002.12:28284622-28437372 GCF_000001405.40 Homo sapiens
ATTTTTTATTTGCTGGAAGAAGATTGTAGAATTAAAAATGAAGAGTTCCAAAGGACTCTGAATTTACCTCAAATAAATAGATGGACAAAACTAAGTTGAAAGCTTAGTTTTCAACTTGTTTTGAAAGTTGTTTTGAAAGCTTGGTTTGTATTTTCTCAGCTGGAAATCAGGCTAGGAAAAGAAATTATATAGACTCAGGTTTGTTTGTCTGTTTTAATTGCTTCTAAGAGAAAAGTGAGTAATAATAGGTATCATTTATGAAGACCTGCTATGTGCCAAGTATTCTGCACATATATTCATTATACCATGTAAACCATCCAGGAGCCTTGCAAGGTAGGTATTATCCCATTTTAAAGATGAGAAAACCTAGACTTAGAGAGTATAGTCAGTTGCCTGAGGTCAGGTAGCAACTGGCAAAGGAGGAATCAAGCCCAGATCTGTCAAATTCCAAACACCGTTTTCTTCCCAGTATGCCATCCCTCCCATCCTTAGTTCTTTAGGTTGCAGCCTGTATTTATTGAGCACTTTTCTATGTGCAAGACTGTATGGCGTGCTTTACCTGCTTCATTTCCAACCCTGAGCTTAAAGTTTTTTCCAGTCTTGGGAATGGGAAAAGAGGAGCACAGAGGTCAGTTCACCTGCCAAAGCTTGCCCACCTCGAGTACACATGCCTTCCTCACTCAACACTCGGCTTCACCCAGATAAGCTGTTCCCCACCCATCTTGCAGACTGAGTGGCTGATTTTTTAACATTTCTGGGGAAAATATCCCCATTCCACACATTCTAGTGGGTCAGACATTGTCCTATAATTGTAATATCCCTGCACGGTATAAGTCCAGCATGGAAACTGCTTGGAAAGGATAATGTAGAAATAAAAATAGGTTAATGAAGGTTTCTGCATGGGGGAATGACATGGTGACCAGTGCTTCTAACCAAGTCTTATGAGGAAACATGTAATCCTTCTGCCAGATATTTGATTTAAACTGTGTCCTGTGTCAGCCTTACATCCAATCCCAAACTTCAGGCCTGACTCTCTGGATTTTTCACATAGTAAGTCCATTATCAAGCCTTCCACTCAGCATCTCCCTTGAACATAAGAGATGTGCAAATAAGTCTTTTTTTTTTTTAATGGAAACGGGATCTTGCTATGTTGCCCAGGCTTATCTCAAACTCCTGGGCTCAAGCGATCCTCCCGCCTAGGCTCCCAAAGTGCTAGGATTACAGGCATGAGCCACCACACCGGCTGATAAGTCTTAAGAGATGTTTTGTAGAGAGGAATTGGTTCCTATACTGAGAAGTAAATAGTCACCCCCTTCTACTAACGAATAATAACTTTTTTTTTTTTTTTTTTGAGACAGAGTCTCATTCTGTCACCCAGGCTGGAGTGCAGTGGTACAATCTCGGCTCACTGCAACCTCTACCTCCTGGGTTCAAGCAATTCTCCTGCCTCAGCGTCCTGAGTAGCTGGGATTACAGGCAGGCACCACCACGCCCAGCTAATTTTTGTATTTTTATTAGAAACAGGGTTTCACCATGTTGGCCAGGGTGGTCTCGAACTCCTGACCTCGTGATCCACCCATCTCGGCCTCCCAAAGTGTTGGGATTACAGGCGTGAGCCACCGCGCCTGGCCTTATTTTTGATTTGTACATACTTTCCAAAGCATTCTCCATTCTAGAGGATTGTACCATGCTGGGGGCATTATAGGAAAGTGTCTGCCACACTGGAATGAGTGGTGTGAGCTTTTTTCCCTAGAAATGTTCAAGGGTAATGCTCATAGAAAGACGTTCACAGTCCTTCACTATGTGTTCAGAGCACTCCACAGTTTGCAATCTTTATCCAGAGCCTCTCTGCTCCAGCTTCTGTCCTCCAGCCTGTATTCCGTCTACCCAGATCCCCCGCATTCCCTCGCTGGGCCTCTACGGTGACTGCTTAATACTTTTCCCTCTGCCTGGATTCTCTTGCTTCTCTCCCTCCCTTCCCAGTCATAGTCCTCCCACTGCCACTGCCTATCCAAATCCTAGTTGTTTTTCAAGGCCCTGCTCAAAGCAGTCTCATCTAATAAGCCTCCTAGAAGCCCTTCGATGGAGTATCTTTGCACCCATACTGCATGGTGGTTGACACCTCTGTTATAACCTTCGTCCTCGTCTCCTTTCCTGAGAACAGTGAGTTGAGGGCATGCTGACACTGTGGGGAGGAGTTGGCCTTACTCAGCTGGGTTTCCCTAGAGCCGGCCATGGTATGTGCTCAGGGAATGTTTGTCAGTTTGGATACATGTTGTTTTCTCTAGAATGTAAAGGTCATAACTAGATCCTTTAGGGAAAAAAGTTAGATTCATTTGAGGAACTTTTTTTTTTCTTCCTAAAGCCACATTAGTCATACTTCGCATTGGGGTAGTCACAATATTCCCAAATTTGTATCTAACTGCTTCATTCTAATTTTTCAAGACAGGAATTTAAACTGACCCTTTACTTTAACCACAGACACCTCATTTGTCCTTTTTCTTCTAATCATTTACATTTGGTACATTGTCTATGAATTCTTTGAAATTAAAAGCTTATGACTTTTTAAAGACTTTGCCCAATTTTTAAATGCTAAGGATTTTGCATTTGAATATATTGTAATTTATTTAAGGATTCTTTTAATCAAACTCTTCCTTAATTTAACCAGATTTCTTTTTTAATCCTCCCAGGCCAGGAGTTTATTTATTGTGACTCAATTCTTTTAAAAATAGAAGTTAAAACAGTACTAAATGCTATTTATGGTGTTCTCTCTTGCTCAATTTCTTTCTGCATCTCATAAAAGCATGTTTCTTTGTACATGTCTAGTGCAGTCCCCATTTCCTCACTAATCAATGCCAGTTAGTCACTAAATATGCATCCACTACCTACCGTGTGTCTAACCCAGTGGCAAACATGTAGGGATCTAACATAAAGATAAGTACACTGAAATTGTCAACAATCCCCCTGAGAAGTGGATTATATGGACATGGAGGCTGGAGAAATCACTGAGCAATGGAGCATGCAAGGAAGGCTTCCTGGAAGAAGGCGGGGCTTGGACTGCATCACAGAGTTGGAAGCAATAGCAGGTTGAAGGGAATGAACACAGAGCCAGGCCCGAGGAAATGAGAATGTCAGAGCAGCAAAGGGGCCAGGATCCAAGTAGGTGGTATATCCAGAGGGCACAGAACCCAGATGGCATAGCAGGCAGGAGGTGCAGAGTTCACACCCGGCCCCTCTCCAGGAAATGTGGACCCTCAGTTCCAGCAGGCAGCCTGGAACAGAGAATCTGCTCACTCAGTGTGTGATGGATGAGGGAGTGGATGAAGCAGAGGGACAGAGAAGCACTTGGGACAGGAGGGGTTCCTACTTTGGGGACCCCTTCATCCCAGCCTCAGCCACTGGTATGCTTTTGTCCTCATGAGAACTCACCCTGAGTGAGCCCTGCTTGGGAGCACAGGTTGGAAGCATGCAGAGTTCTAGAAAAGAGGTATTTCTGATCATCTGAACTTTGATGAGAGTAAAACCAGATAAACCCAGAAAAGCAAGGGGCGCCCTCCAGACAGGGAGAAGGACTTGGCCTGTGAGCTTCCTGACACCAGCGTCTGCTTCCTTCATCTTTGTGTCACCTATTTCTCTTCACAGATACAAAGGGCAGGAGAGTAGTGGGAAACATTGGTAATATAGGACAGGTTGTGGCTTTTCTTTTCTTTTTTTTTTTTTTTTGAGACAGTCTTGCTCTGTCACCAAGGCTGGAGTGCAATGGCGTGATCTCACCTCATTGCAACCTCCCCCTCCCCGGTTCAAGCAATTCTCGTGCCTCAGCCTCCCGAGTAGCTAGGATTTCAGGCACCCACCACCAAGCCAGGCTAATTTTTGTATTTTTAGTACAGACGGGGTTTTACCATGTTCGTCAGGCTGGTCTCAAACTCCTGACCTCAGGTGATCCACCCACCTCAGCCTCCCAAAATGCTGGGATAGATTATGGCTTTTCTACATCGAATATGAGATACCAAAGGAGCAAAATTAAAAGTGGAGAATTATGTTTACAAATATCAAATGGGTTATTGAATCTTTTCCTTTCTATGAGATATTCCTGTCTCCAATTCTGATTCAACTTGTAACCATCTAGAACCAACTCAAAGTCCATCTCTTCTGCAGAGCGGTAACCTCAGGCGGCTGCCCTTCTCCCTGCGTGACACCGCGTGTGTGCCTCTGCCATTGTCTTAGCATGCTCAACTGAAGTTGCTTCTTGACCTTGCCAGGTCTCCTTTTCCAGACCATGAGCTCAAGGGCATGGACACCCTCATTCTTCCTGGCACTCTACCCACTGTGGGTTGTTGTTTTTTTTTTTTTTCTGAAGACTATTCAGTTTTCCTGACCCTCTTAGTTTTTTTAACAAATGCCCCCATTTTCAAAGTAATGTTTATCTGTTTATACACACGCGCACACACACACACACACGATTATGTAAAACATATCCACACACTTTAAAGATTCATAAACACTACTCAACTTAAGAAATAGAATAGTGCCAGTATCATAGACGTCCTGTGGGTGTCTCTCCCAGAAGGAACCACTACCCTGAATTTTATGTTAACTGCCCTCTTGATTTTCTCAATAGCTTTACCACCTAGTATATATCCATAAAAATATATCATTTATTTTTTCTATTTTTGAACTTAATATAAATGGAATCATACTGATTTCTGCGTCTGTGAATATTAATGTCTTACTTTTTTAAACTTTTTAAAATTATAAATATTTAAGGCATACACATGTGTATAAAGACTATGAAAACAAATACCCATGTACCCACCTTAATCAAATCTTCATAATTTGCTGTAATTGCTTCTGAGTTTTTTTAAAAAGAAATAGCACATTGTCAGGCCGGGCACAGAGGCTCATGCCTGTAATCCCAACACTTGGGAGGCCAAGGCGGGCAGATCACCTGAGGTCAGAAGTTCAAGACCAGCCTGGCCAACATGGTGAAACCCCATCTCTACAAAAAAAATACAAAAATTAGCTGGGCATGGTGGCACACACCTGTAGTCCCAGCTACTTGGGAGTTTGAGGCAGGAGAATAGCTTGAAGCTGGAAGGCGGAGGTTGCAGTGAGCCGAGATCACGCTACCACACTCCACCCCGTGTGACAGAGAGACTCTGTCTCAAAAAAGAAAAAAAGAAAGGAAAGGAAAGGAGAAAGGAATAGCAGAAAGGAAAGGAGAAAGGAAAGGAGAGCAAAGGAAAATAGCACACTGTCAATTCAGTTGAAGCCCCCTGAGTGCCCCTCCAAAATGCACCCCCATCCTTTACTCATTCCCTTTTCCCCACCCACAGAGGTAACCACTACCCTTAATTTGGTGTATATCTTTCCTATGCATGTTTTTATACTTTAATTACATAGACATTCCTAAATAGTATGTAATGTGTGCACGTTTTTGATCCTTGTAAGTATATACTGAACAGTGTTCATCTGCAGCTTGCTTTTTTCACTGAACATTTGGTCCTTGAGATTCATCTAGGTTGACACATGTAGCCCTAGCTCATTCATTTAAACTGCTGTAAGGTATTCCTGTGAAAGAATAGGCACAATGTATTTATCCGGTCTCCTGTTGATAGACATTTAAGATGTTTCCAGTTTTTGTTATCACAAGTGGGGCTACTTTAGGCCTTCTCCTGCGATCTTTTTACACACATGTGGTAGTTTCTTAAGAGTGGAATTGCTGTGTCGTGGAGTACATACACCTTTACTTTTACTGTACAAGGTTTTAGCAATTTATATCATCATCATCATCATCAGGGAATGGGAATTCCCAATGTTCCACAGCCTGACAACACTTGGGTATTTTCCAGTTTTAAAATGTTTGTCAATCAAATGGGCATGAAGTGGAAGTTCATTGAGGTTTTAATTTGCATGTGCTTTATATGAGCCTTTACTGAGTGTTTCTCATGTGTCATGCGCTGTACTAAGTGCTAGAAATACTAAAATAACTAATTCACAGCCCCTGCGCTTAAGGACTTCATGGTTCTCTGCAGTGATTCCTACCTGGGGAGGCGAATTAAAATCACTTGAGGTGCATTTTCAGAAATGAGGTTTAGGGAATGCAGGCTCTTAGGTAGGAGGCATTTGTGAAATAGTAAAAGCTAAATCTTCCTTAACACTTGGGCCATCGTGTATAACTTGTTAATGTGTTCTCTGTCATCCAAAAAAGGCTAATTTATTTTCAGTATATCATATTTACTGAGACATGAAGTTTAGAAAGATTTTCATCAAAATAGTTAAAATTTAAGAACCTGAAACATATGCTACAGTTATCAGAAATTTCACATATACAGAACAGTGTATAAAGTTAGATGGAAGAAAAAAACCACTTAAAGAAGGGTGGTAGGGAAAAGAAATGAACACATACTGAGTACCTGTTTGGTTTTTATTTAGTTCTTTCAACAAACACTATGAGATAGAAATTATTATCCTCATTTTACAGATGAGAAAATCAGGATTCAAAGAGGAGAAATATTTTGCCTATGATATCATCACTAATTAATGGTGTAGCCAATATTTGAACTCACTTTATCTGACCTCAAGGGCATACCATGCTGTCTCTTTCCATAATAGGATTTTTTAGCATATGTGGAAAAATCCAAGAAACTTCAAGCTTCAGTTTAATAATATTGAAACTTCAAAGATAAGCCGGGCATAGTGGTTCACATCTATAATCCCAGCACTTTGGGAGGCCGAGGTGGATGGATCACCTGAGGTCAGGAGTTCGAGACCAGCCTGGGCAACATGGTGAAACCCAGTCTCTACTTAAAATACAAAAAATTAGCCAGGCGTGGTGGTGGATGCCTGTAATCCTAGCTACTCGGGAGGCTGAGGCAGGAGAATCACTTGAATCTGGGAGGTGGAGGTTGCGGTGAGCCGAGATCACACCACTGCACTCCAGCCTGGGCAACAAGAGTGAAACTCCGTCTCCAAAAAAAAAAAATAAACAAAGATAATTTGTTTACATGATCATATCATAACCAGCTTAAACCAGTGAAAAGTAGAACACATGTAACAAAATCTGGTTAATATTTAGTCTTTCTTGTCACTTAAAAGAAAGGTAGTGATAATAAATGGAGATACCTTAAATAGATACTTCTGAATTGGAAAATGTTACTTTTATATTTCTTGTAGGTGAGTATTTTGGATATGTAGTGTTAATTTTCCAGTGGTTGGAATCCACATGTCTCAAAGGTTTAGTGTGTAGGTAGTAAGATCGTGGTTGCTCGGTAAATATATGGCAGTCTTCCCACA
This sequence comes from Homo sapiens, assembly GCF_000001405.40. Taxonomy (NCBI): domain Eukaryota; kingdom Metazoa; phylum Chordata; class Mammalia; order Primates; family Hominidae; genus Homo; species Homo sapiens. The sequence continues at coordinate 28,291,919 of NC_000002.12, forward strand.
TTGTGGGGATAGCCTGGGAATGAAAAGTATACAGATTGCTCTCAGGAACAATCAGCCTCAAATGGAATCCTCACTGGAGAGTGACTTTACAGCAATTCAACAAGGGGTTAAAACGTTTCCTAACGAGGCTTGGAGGAACTGGAGCATCCTGAGAGGACTGGAAATGGGAATATAACCATAACCACCACAAAGCGCATCTATGAGTATCTTCCCTGCCGACCCAAGATATGGGGGAAAGCGCAGAAATATATAGTTTGGAAGGTTTGAAGAAATGAAATAATGGCCAACTTGTGAATAATGGTGAAAATATTTGATGATGTGACTCCCAGGGAAGCAATTATGGTTAACCCCTCATTTGTTTGGCATTTTCAAGGATCGAACTGTCCCGCAAAACTGAACTTTCCAGACAACTAAAATTTTCCTGTTTATATGCCTTGAATGCTTTCTTAACCATGCTTGGTGGAAATATTTCTGAAATAGATTATACAATTATATGTACATAGATTATACAGTTATCTTGCCTTCTTGAACAGAAGCTTCAGAAAATAACGTTTCCTTAGATGCCTTTGACTGCACGTATCAGAAGACCCTATTATAAGAGGTTTAATAGTAAAGATTGTCTCACATAACAAGAAATCCAGAGCTGGGTAGTTCAGGGATGATGAATCCAGCCACACAATGATGACAGGCTGACTTTCCCTCATGGTCACAAGATGGGGCCTCAACTCCAAGCCTCAAGACCTCACATGATCAGCTCTAAGGCAAGAATGAGATGGGGGCTTCTCCTTACACGTGTGTTTAATCAGAGAGGAAAATATTTCTCAAAAGACCCATAGCCCACTTCCCTTCAGGGGCTATTGGCAGGACTGAGTCACATTTCCATGTCTTGGTTTATTGAAGGCTGAGTGATATCCAGCACTGTCAGACTCTGGGGTGAGAAGAAGGTTCTGCCCATAAGAAAGAAGGATGGAGAATGGCTGTTAGGTACGCAACCACAGCTGTCCGCCACCACTGCCAAGATTGGGAGTGAATATCACTTACTATATGGTGATAGCTTAAGTGACAGCTGGGATGTATGGAGCTTTTTGTTACTACACTGAATGGCCAGACTGGGATTCTTTCAGCTCTCCTAACCCTGCTTGTATTTATTCTATTCTTCCTCTGTGCTAGACTGCGAATTGTGACTACTTGCCTTTAATGTTCCTTGTCCTCATTTTGCCATAATTAGATACTTTTTTTTTCTGGAGAAATCATATAATCAAACTTGTTGAACTATGCCTGAAATGTTGAGTGTCTGATAGGCTATCCTGGGAATCACATGCATGGTATGGCATTTCTTTTGGCTATTCATTTTTCCATTGTTGAGGTGTTTGGAGAAGTGAGAAATTTCTAGAAAGTCTTATGAATTGAGATACCACCTTACTAGAGTTGTCTTCTAGTGAAAAGATGAGCATTTAGGGGCAGATAAGCATGTTTGCTTGGGAAGGTAGAAATGCAGCCACTACTTGAACCTCACCAGAGTTCACAGAGAGGCAGCATAGTTTATCAGTGCATTCGGCTTTCCCCCAAAGCTGCATGGTTGGCTGTTGTCTGGAGAGCACCACAAGCTCTGGGACTGCAACCCGCGGAACCCATCACTGCAGTGACTGTCCAGAGTGAGGCAACCGGTGCAGAGCTTAATTCTTCCTCCCTTCCCCCAGGGCTTCAGAGCCTTGTGAATGCATCCTGTGAACTGCCTGGTTTGTGCAGAATTAAGAAGCATTTGGTGTGACTTGTTTCAGCAAGTTCTTGAAGAATGCTTCAGAAATAGTTATTGAGACCGAGTGTAGTGGCTCATGCCTGTAATACCAACACTTTGGTAGGCCAAAGAGGGAGGATCACCTGAGGCCAGCAGTTTGAGACCAGCCTGGACAACATGGCAAGACCCTCATCTCTAAAAATAAAAAATTAAAAATTTAAAAAAAGAGAAGAAAGAAATGGTTACTGAAATTCTACTAAACAGGTGCAGACCATCCCCTCTGTGGATGAAGAGCCAACCAAGATTTAGTCTCTGTATATGGGAAGAAGGAAATAGGAAGCAGTTGTCAAAATAATACTGACACTAAGTAACTGAATCAAATGAGATGATTCTGCTCTAAGAATCAAACCTGACCCAGTAGGTTCTAAGAAAGCAAATGGCTGGCCAGGCATGGTGGCTCATGCCTGTAATCCCAGCACTTTGGGAGGCTGAGGCGGGCAAGTCACAAGGTCAGGAGTTCAAGACCAGCCTGACCAACATGGTGAAACCCCATCTCTACTAAAAATACAAAAAATTAGCTGGGCATGACGGCAGGCGTCTGTAATCCTAGCTACTTGGGAGGCTGAGGCAAGAGAACCACTTGAACCTGGGAGGTGGAGGTTGCAGTGAGCCGAGATCGCACCACTGCCCTCCAGCCTGGGCGACACAGTGAGACTCCATCTCAAAAAAAAAAAAAAAGGAAAGAAAGCAAATGGTTAAAGTGTTCAATTTTGATATAGCTGAAACTATGAGCCCCAAATCCTTGGAATCTGGGCGGTTCCTTCAGAGCAAGTTAGCTGTTGGAAGTCCTAAAGTAATTATTTTACTATGCATCAGAAAATCATGAGTTAACCTATAGGCAAAAGTTAAGTGACAGAAACATTTGGGGATAAGGAAAGCAAGTTTTAATTTTTTTAATCTTGACTAAGTTGTACCATTCAAATCATTCTTGTCAGAAAAATGTGAAGTATTTCTCATAAATATTTTAGTTATTAACTCATTCTTATGCATAGAACATTTTAAAATAAGCCATCATTTTATTGACCATTGACTGATATAGACAGGATACAGCTTAGTTAAGTTGAGCAAGATACTGTATTTTTAAAATTTTATTTTCTCATATGTGAATTGCCAGTTTTATCTCTGAAGTACTCTGACTGTTCCTGCTCCCCTAATAATACATTTACTGTGTGCACTGAGAAAGTATTCAAATTTTAATATTGGCTTCAATTACACTTTGTTAGACAAATCTCCATGGAGAAATAATAATGTAATCAATGCTTTTTGGGGACTGTGGTAGATATCAACATTACCTTGCTGCTGTTTTTTAAAAATCAGAACAACTCACTTGCCCAGGTAGATACATTTCCTTCATATTTTGAATTATTTCTGATGCTAACTGGGCATTTAGGGAGTCAAAGAAGATGGTTCCAAAATAGGTGGGAAAAAATCATTTTTTAGCATATTAAAATATTAATACCAGCAACTCATTTTCTACAAAACAAAATAATAAGAACGAAAATAGAAGGCATTCCAAAACCCGAAAAAGCCAGTAGCTTGAAAATCACATAGCCTGTGGTATTATCTGCATTGCTTTGGATACTGAGTGATGACTGTATTTGCTTTAAATTTATAAATTATTGCAATTGAGTTCTACTGTTTAAAATTGTTGCTTTCTTGTAGGGAAGCTCTCATGGTACTTTTCTGCTGGTAATGATTGCTTTGGAGGTTACTCTCAACCTTGTTTTATATTTGCAAAAGTGTACATAGTATAAAACAACTGAAGTCAAAGTATATGTGAATAGGCTTTTTTTTTTGAGACGGAGTTTTTCTCTTGTTGCTCAAGCCGGAGTCCAGTGGCGCTGTCTCGGCTCACTGCAACATCTCTCTCCAGAGTTCAAGAGATTCTCCTGTCTCAGCCTTCTGAGTAGCTGGGATTACAGGTACGCACCACTATGCCCAGCTAATTTTTTGTATTTTTAGTAGAGACGGGGTTTCACCATGTTGGCCGGGCTGGTCTCGAACTCCTCACCTCAGGTAATCTGCCTGCCTCAGCCTCCCAAAGTACTGGGATTACAGGAGTGAGCCACCGCGCCCAGCCACGAATAGGCCTTTTTAAAAAATTAATCAGAAGAGGCGCGGTGGTTCACGCCTGTAATCCCAGCACTTTGGGAGGCCAAGGTGGGTGGATCATCTGAGGTCAGGAGTTCAAGACCAGCCTGACCAACATGGTGAAATTTGATCTCTACTAAAAATATAAAAAATTAGCCGAACGTGGTGGCAGGCGCCTGTAATCCCGGCTACTTGGGAGACTGAGGCACGAGAATTGCCTGAACCCAGGAGGCAGAGGTTGCAGTGAGCTGAGATCGTGCCATTGCACTCCATCCAGCCTGGGCGACAGAGCGAGACCCTGTCTCAAAAATAAATAAATAAATAAATATTAATCAGAAGAAATGGAAGTAGTAATGAGAAAAGATACAAAGTTAATTTTAGAAAGCAATATTTGTGCAGAGTGACTGAAAACGTTACAGATCATGCTTTGCAATATGCAGGGACTCAAAAGCGATTTCTGAATTGAATTATTGATTTTAATCAGTCTTTCGTATTGTTCCTCTATACTATGAACTCTCTGCTTTGGCACCAACAGACATGTATTCAGACTGCCCTATTGTGGTACTTGAAAAATGTGACTAAAGAGTGGACATTCAAAATCGTGCCCTTTTCTCTGACTGTCGTGTGATTCATCTGTAGAAACCCCCTGCAGCACTGAGTCAGTCATCATCAGAGTCAAGTGCACTCCGAGTCTAAGAGGCCCTCCCAACTGGATGGTTTTTTGATTCTCGGGAGTTTTTTGGCTTCTCCTTAAAAGTCTGCTGCGGACCTAAGTTTTCCTTCAAGAAATCATATTGAGTGCTGAGAGTACCTAGTCCAAGTTGAATGTCACCCCAGACTAGAATAGTGATAGATGTATAATTATCTAGCATGTATTTTTATTTATTTATTTATTTTTAAGACGGAGTCTCACTCTGTTGCCCAGGCTGGAGTGCAGTGGCGCGATCACAGCTCACTGCAGCATCCGCCTCCCGGATTCAAGCGATTCTTCTGCCTCAGACTCCCGGGTAGCTGGGATTATAGGTGCTTGCCACCACGCCTTGCTAATTTTTGTATTTTTAGTAGAGATGAGGTTTCACCATGTTGGCCAGGCTGGTCTTGAACTCCTGACCTCAGGTAATCCACCCACCTCCGCCTCCCAGAGTGCTGGGATTACAGGTGTGAGCCACTGTGCCTGGCCTAATTATCTGGTATGTATTTTTAAATATATCTTCCTCATGTAGCTAAAAAGACGAACCTTATACATACTTCATAATGACAACTTTAGCTTCCTAAATTGTGACATAGTGAATGAGTCGTAAGCAGGTTATGCCAGTGTCCTCTGGAGTAGGAGAAGGCAATGTGGGGCATAGTAGGAGCCGAATGTTTGAATCATGGGACTAGATTTGAGTCTTGCCCCTGCCTGACTATGACATGAGCAAGTTAATATACCTCTTAGAGTCTCTGGTTTGCTCACCTGTTAAATGCAAATGTTGAAGATAATGTCTCTGTCATGGAGTTCTAAGTAACAAATCAGATAACGTGTATAAAGATACCCTGTAAATCTAGAAAATTCTATACTTGTTTTTCTTATTATTTTTATGCTGTTCCTATTCTTTGTCCTAGAAGTGGATAACATTCATACACATATACGTTATATACCTTTAAGAATGTGTTATTGAAACAGTCTGTGTTTTTAATGATGATTTGCCTCAACTAATAACAAGTCAGTTTACTTTTAAAAATTGAGTTAAAGAACCCCAAAATGAAAGATAAAGCATATAACACATGTTAACAGCAAGGATTGGAATTAGCCTGTACTATCACAGCAAACATATTTAGTGCTCAGAGTAGTACCTTATGCGTTCCATTAAGGAACTCCCACTGATTTAGGAGATATAAATATATGTGGTAATGCATATGGAAAAAACTGAAACTGCTGAGTATCAAAATTCACTGCTTGATTGGAAGTAGAGTGATAACTTCATTTTTCCTGGTAGTCTGGTTGCCATATCCTATAAAGTAGAAAGATTATCACCTGCACTCTTACCGCTTCTCCAAATGCATTCTTGAAAAACAGCCTCTGTCCCACTGCCTCCATCAAATTATAGATGTGGAATACATTGCCCAACCCTTGAAGAGTTTATGTTATAATAGACACTTAAAACAGATAGAAAGAGAACTCTGCTATGGAATATTGATCCCGGGAAGTGCTAGAGAGGAATGTCAGATGGTTGCAGGCACCCAAGCATCCTTCCCTAAGCTTCTGTGACCATTTCAAAGCATTCTTACAGCACCTACACATCATGCCTTCTATTGGTGACATTTTCACCCACGTGTGATTTGCCTCTAGATTATAAACTCCTCGAAGATGGAGAAGTCACTTTGTATTTCTTGGTGCCTCTCTATACACCACACCTTTCATCCAAACTGCAAGCAGTATTTGTGGTTCAAATAGAGTTTCGTACCTAACATTCGGATTTAGTCAAAAAAAAAAATCTTAAGATGTGTTTATGCTCTAACTTTCTTTTTCTTTCTTCTGTCTTTGCAGTTGACCTGCCTCTGTTTTTCCCTCGAGACCAGCCAACTCTCACATTTCAGTCCGTTTATCACTTTACCAACAGTGGACAGCTTTACTCCCAGGCCCAAAAAAATTATCCGTACAGCCCCAGATGGGATGGAAATGAAATGGCCAAAAGAGCAAAGTAAGTGAATCTGTCGTTATTTCCAACAGGTAAGAGCATTTTGTTTATCTAGTCCAGGGGTTGGCAAGCTACTGCTTGCAGGTTAGTTCCTGCCCTGTGCATGTTTTTGTAAATAAAGTTTTATAGAAACACAGCAACACCCATTTCTTTACTTATTATCTGTGGCCGCTTTAATGCTACAGTGGCAGAGTGAGTAGTTGCAACAGAGACTGGATGGCCTAGAAAACAAAAAATATTTACTGTTTGGCCCTTTGTAGCTTCATCAGGAAGAAGCTGATCTACATCTGAAAGTGTTTCCTTTTTCTACTGTTTCTGTTGGTCTCTAAAATTAGCCATGACAGCTTTTGTTTTTTTTCATGGAATGTAGAATTTATCAGAAAACTACCTCTCTATTTAGAGTAGAGGATAAATACTAAATAGGAATTCGAGTTGTGGGTAAATGGCATAAATGATGAAAATGTTGGCAGCTACTTTTTATAGTTTTTTAAAAAATGGAAAATTTCAGGTGGCAGTAAACAAACAATTTTTGCTTAGTAGTCAACACCTGGAGCCGGTAGCTACTCTTTCATATGGAAATGAATCTCTGAATTCTATACCTCATTGCGTCTCTGCAGTGTATACCATAGCTGTTGCCCAAAGTAGGACCTGTGTATTTCTTGGTCAAATAAACAGCTACACAAATAGCTTAGGGCTATTAGAATAGATATGGAAGTAGGATTTCATAGAGGTCGAAGTTAGCTAAAGTTTGGAGTTTAGAGGTACAACTATTGCTCATGAACCTCTCAGTGTGGAAGGCCTCACTTCAGTCATACAGAATAGGTAAATATAGAAATATGCTGAGTGTTTTTTATATTTAAGACTTTGGTGTCTGGAACATCAGTCTTCATAAACCATGACCTCCTAGATTGAAGAAGCAGTGGATCAAAATCATAGTTTCCAAAAATAAATCGAAGAGTGCATGTGGTTATAACTTTATCGCTTGGAACAGTCATATGCTTCACACCTGTGATCCCAGCTGAAGGATGATCAGATCCAAAGTATCACACAAATATAGACTATCTATTAGGCCTCCTCTTCATTTGCTCATCCAGTATTTATTAAGCATCTACCATGTTCCAAGCATTGTGCTCAATGCTAGGAATATAATGATAAACGAATTAGAAATTGTCCCTGTCTTCATGGAATTTATAGCCCAGCAAAGAAGATAAAGCCTTTATCATATGAAACTTCTGACAATTTCAAAGTACCTACTAACAAAACCTGGACCTCCAGATCTGGAATGTTCTTGATTAGCCATGACTAATCAAGAACTTAGTAGGACTTCCTGTTCTTGCCTCCCCCTCCCAGAGAGACCCCATTCCCTTCCATGGGGCCTCCTGACCTCACCTATATTTTTCTGTAGTACAAGACTTTCACTTATAGCAGGCTTGATAACTTTTTATTTTATTTTATTTTATTTTATTTTGCGACAGAATCTTGCTCTGTTGCCTAGGCTGGAGTACAGTGGTGCAATCTCGGCTCACTGCAACCTCCACCTCCCAGGATCAAGCAATTCTCCTGCCTCAGCCTTCTGAGTAGCTGGGACTATCGGCATGTGCCACCACGCCGGACTAATTTGTGTATTTTGAGTAGAGATGGGGTTTTGCTATGTTGGCCAGGCTGGTCTCGGACTCCTGACCTCAGGTGATCCGCCCACCTCAGCCTCCCAAAGTGCTAGGATTACAGGTGTGAGCCACTGCGCCCAGCCTGAGATTCTTAAATAATGTCAGGGTGTCTTCTTCTAGAAACCAGACTGCCTCAGATTTATATGCAGAATCCAGAGTTGTTATCTGAAACTTTAATGTGCCTTCTTCTTTCCCTTTATTTTCTCTTTTTATCCGTGACACCCAAGTCTGAAATCCCATTCAGGACAAAAACAAGCATATGCAAATATAACAAGTAACAATGATTAAGACTTACACATCCTGAAATACAATGGAAAAAAGGAATTATGAAGTATGTTTTATGCTTGAAGTATTGATATCGTTTAATTTTCTGGGCTTTCCTTGTGTATACATAGGATCTGCCCTAAGAAGATGGGCATTATTTGTGGTACGTGCTGAACCAGATGTGTCTTTGTGGTTTCCATGGCAAAGCTATCTTGGTGTGTATGTGTGTGTGTGTGTTTCCTAAGTAGACATTTTAGCAAGTATGAATTGAGTCTTTAAGAAGTTGCAGACCACAAGCCCGTGATTTCAGTATAGGAATATCGTAAGTGAAGCCTGTTTATCTTAACAGATTGGTTCAGAGTTTCAAGAGACATTTGCTTTATGTTAACACCAGTCTAAAGAAAACATCTGAAGTAATGTTTAAAAAATCTGCTTTCTACTGTAGCGAAGATGGATCCATTTTAAATGTAATAAAAGAGAAAGCCAGCAGCTCGTGCTAGCAAGAAGAAATAGTTTAAGTTTCCATTCTTCAGCTGAACTGAGTAACCACCCTGTGCTGTGTCAGAAAGCCAGATAAACACCGTGAAAGAACTGTCCTGCAGTATAGTCTTGAGATTGGTGGAGAAGGTTGAAGACAAAGGATGGAAAGAGAGGAGGGTCAACTGTAGCATTCCTTCCACACCCTGTTTCTTTGTCCTGTGAAAATACTGTACGTACACAGTGCGTAAAAGGCTATAATTCACTTGGGGAGCTCTGCCCATGACATAAACACTCTCATGGTTTATGAACAGCAGTGGAGCCTTTTGAGTGGAATCAGCTGTTTATTCCCTCCTGTAGAGCAAAATTCTAAACAATGTAACCTCAGAAAGGACACTTCCTGGCACTGACCAGGGCTTTTCCTACCACATGTGCTTCTTTCTTTCTCATGGCTGTCTAGCAGATTCTGTCCCTCGCAAGTGAAGCAGCATTTACAAGGTGAGCACAGGCTTTGGGGTCATGTGTGCCCCAGTTGCTATTGCAAAGTCTAATCCTGCAAGCTCTGTGGTCTTGGGCAGAGCTCTTAACCTCTCTGAACCTCATTCCTAAAACAGGACTGTACTCCTCCCTATTGGATGGACTTGCTATGAGAGGCCAGCAAGTTAACACTTGGAAGACCATGGGTTTTAGCTTCTGCTGTGTACCTCAGTGCCTTTGCTCACGCCTTTCCTCCCACCCTCTTTCTGCCCCCTCAAACAGACACATCCTTCAACCTTCTCCCATATGGGTTTTCCCATCCACTCTACTTTGCCAGCAGCTCTCTCCCCTCCCAGTCTCCTTTGACTCTAATCACATACTGCTTTGGAATCTCTTTGGTATTTTCTTTTAGTTCTTCACATCTTCATATATATTTTGTTTCCTTAACCAAACCATGAGTACTTTGAAGGAAATGGCTTTGCATATATATCTTTTTTTAAAATTACAGTATAATTTATATACAATGGAGTGGACAGGTTTTAAGTATATCTTTTGACAAGTTTTGACGAAGTTACCTTATAGCCTCTTTCCAAATAGTCTCTTTACTCTCAAGGCAACTATTGTTCTGTATCACCCTGTCTTAGTTTTTTCTTTTAGATACTTCTAAATGAAATAATACAGATCATACTCTTTTGTGTCTGACACAATGAAATTTATCTTCATTTCATTCAACATAATTGTTTAAGATTTAGCTGTTATGGTGGCCGGGAGCAGTCATCACGTCTGTTCTCCCAGCATTTTGGGGGACTGAAGCGGGCGGATCACCTGAGGTAGGAAGTTCGAGAACAGTCTGGCCAACATGGGAAAACCCCATCTCTACTAAAAATACAAAAATTAGCAGGGCATGCTGGCACAAGCCTATAATCCCAGCTACTCCGGAGGCTGAGGCAGGAGAATCTGTTGAACCCAGGAGGCGGAGGTTGCAGTGAGCCAAGATCACACCACTGCACTCCAGCCTGGGTGACAGAGCGAGACTCCATCTCAAAAAAAAAAAAAAAATGTATCTGTTATGGCATTTCTTTTTTACTGCTGAGTAATATTCTATTATATGAATATAATGTATTAATCCATTCACCCATGTGTAGATACTTGTGTTGTTTCCAGGTTGAGGATTTTATTAATAGAGCTGCTATGACCAAGCCTTTTTGTAGACATGTGTTTTCCTTTCTTCAGGTAAATACTTGGGAGTGGGAGTACATATGTGATTAACTTTATGAGAAGGTGACAAGCTTTTTTAAAGTGGTATCGGTTTACCCTCCCATCAGCAATATGCCAGGGTTCCAGTTGCTTCACATTCTCACCAACACATCCTATTGTCAGTCTTTTTAAATTGTACCATTCTAGAGAGGATAAAGTAAGATCTCATGTTTTTAATTTACATTTCCTGGTGATAAATGATGTTGAGCATCTTGGCATGTGCTTATTGGTTTATCTCTTTCATGAAATGTCTGTTCAAATCTTGCCTATTTTTAATTTGGTTGTTAGTCTTTTTATTAATGAGTTGTATATATGAGTTTCTTTATATATTTGTCAGATATATTTTTTGTGAGTATCGTCTTTCAATCTGTGGCTTGCCATTTCATTTTCTTTTTCCTTTTTTTAATAGAGACAATATTTCGCTATGTTGCCCAGGCTGGTCTTGAACCCTTGGGCTCAAGTGATCCTTGATCCTCCCGCCGCAGCCTCCCAAAATCTTGGGATTACAGGTGTGAGCCACTATTCCTGCCCTTTTCATTTCTTAAGAGTGTCTTTTGATGAGCAGAAAATCTTCATTTTTTAAATGAAATCTGTTTTTTACGTTAATGCTCTTTGTATACTCAAAATTATTAGCCTACTAGAAGGTCATGAAGAAATTATCCTATGTTTTCTTCTAGAAGCTTTTGTTTTGATACATAGGCCTATGATCCATCTCAAATTAATTTTTGTATATGATATGAGGTAGATGCCAAGGTTAATTTTTTGTTCATATGTATCCAGATATTACAACACCATTTGTTGAAAATACTTTTCTTTCCCTGTTGAATTACCTTTACATCTTTGTCAAAAGTCAATTAACCACATGTGAGTGGATCTATTTCTGGATACTCTATTCTGTTCCATTGATAGGTTTGTATACCAATATTTCTTGAAATCAGGAAAGGTATACCAATATTTCTTGAAATCAGGAAAGGTATCCAAGCTTGTTCTTTTTAAAGATTGTTTTGGCTATTCTAGGTCCTTTGCATTTTTATATATCTTTTAGAATCAGCTTGCCAATTCCCACCTCTCCCCACTCCAACGCCCCCCCCACCAAAAGCCTGCTGATCAACAAGGGAAGAATTGACATTTTTACAATACTGAATCTTTTATAATACTGAATCAATGAACATGGTTTTATTTAGGTCTTTAGTTTCTCAGAAATTTTTAAAATATTTCAATGTAGAAATCTTGAAATATTTTTAAATGTTTTTCTTTTTCTTTTTTTTGAGACAGAGTCTTGCTCTGTTGCCCAGGCTAGAGTACCGTGGCGCAATCTTGGCTTACTGCAAACTCTGCCTCCCAGATTCAAAAGATTCTTGTGCCTCAGCCTCCTGAGTACCCAGGACTACAGACGTGTGCCACCACACCCAGCTAATTTTTGTATTTTTATTTATTTTTTTGAGACAAAGTTTTGCTTTTATCACCCAGGCTGGAGTGCAATGGCATGATCTTGGCTCACCGCAACCTCCACCTCCCAGGTTCAAGTGATTGTCCTGTCTCAGCCTTCCTAGTAGCTGGGATTACAGGCGCCCGCCACTATGCCCGGCCAATTTTTGTGTTTTTAGTACAGACAGGGTTTTGGCATGTTGGCCAGTCTGGTTTCAAACTCCTGACTTCAGGTGATCCACCCGCCTCGGCCTCCCAAAGTGCTGGCATTACAGGCATGAGCCACTGCATTCCACCTGTTTTTGCTTTTATTGTAAATTATATAAAAATATAAATATAAAATATTTATAAATATATAAAAATATAAACAAAATTTTTAAAAATTTATTTTCTAGTTTGTTGCTGGTATACAGGAATACAAATGATTTTTCTATACTGACATGGCATCCTGTGACATTGCTAAATTCACTTATTACTACTAAAATCTAATAGATTTTTTAAATAGATTTCTTATAATTTCTTTTTTCTTTTTTTTGGAGATGGAGTCTCACTCTGTCACCCAGGCTGGAATGCAGTGGCATTATCTTGGCTCACTGCAACCTCACCTCCCAGGTTCTAGCAATTCTCCTGCTTCAGCCTCTTAAGTAGCTGGGACTACAGGCACACGCTGCCACGCCAGGCTAATTTTTTGTATTTTTTTTTTAGTAGAGACGGAGTTTTACCATGTTGCCCAGGCTGGTCTCGAACTCCTGAGCACAGGCAATCCACCTGCCTTGGCCTCCCAAAGTGCTAGGATTACAGGCATGACGGGATTTCACCATGTGGCCCAGGCTGGTCTTGAACTCCTGAGCTCAGGCAATCCACCTGCCTTGGCCTCCCAAAGCACTAGGATTACAGGCATGAGCCAGCACGCCCAGCCTGCAATTTCTTACATAAACAGTCACGCCTTATGCTAACAGCTTTACTTCTTTCCTTCCAATCTTTATGTTTTTCTGTTTCTTTTTCCACCTACTTGCACTGAATAGGACCTCCAGTACAATTTTTTACATAAGTGATAAGAGCAGAATCTAGCTGTATGTTTCTCTATTAAGGCTAATGTTGAGGTTTTACATAGATGTCTTTATCACGTTAAAGAAATTCTTGTATTACTACTTTGCTAAGAGGTTTTCTTTTTTTCTTTTTTTATCATGAATGGGTGTTGAATTCCATAGATTGCTTTTTCTGCATCTTTTGACATTGACATAATCATGTGGTTTTTCTTTATTCTGTTAATGTGAATTACATTATTTAGTTTTTGCATGTTGAACCAACCTTGCATTCCAAAGATAAACCCTTCTCGGTCATGATTTTATCCTGTTTTATATTATTAAATTTGATTTGCTAAAATTTTAAGATTTTTACATCTACATTTATGAATGATATTGGTCTAAAATTTCTTTTCTTGTGTTTGTCCTTGTCAGGTCTTTGGTATCAGTACTATGCTGGCTTCATTAAATAAACTGGAAAGTATTCCTTCCTCCCTTGTTTTCTGAAAGAGTTTGTGCAGATTTAGTATTATTTCTTTCCAAATGTTTGGTAGGGTTTCCTTTGTGCAAAAAATATTTAGTGTCTTTAGTAAATGTAGGGATATTCAGATTGCTGTATTTCTTCTTGTGTTCATTTTAGCAAGCTAGGTTTTTTAATAAGAAATTGATCCATCATGTCTAAGTTGTCAAAGTGATTGGCAATACATTGTTTCTAATGTCTTCCTTTTCAAGTTTCTTAGAGTAGAAGCTTAGGTCACAATTTTAATCCTTTTTTCTTTTTTAATATAAAATTACTTTCTACAGATTGCTTAAGCTGCATTCCACAAAGTTTTGTATGTTATTTTTCATTATTATTTTATTAGAAATATTTTCTGATTTCCCTTGTGATTTCTTCTTGAACCATGGGTTATTTATAGTTGTGCTTCTTGAATTTCAAGTGTTTAGAAAGACTTTTCTAAATATCTTATTGATTTATATTAATTCGGTTTTGGTCAGAGATCATAACCTGTATGATTTCAAGCCTTTGGAATTTGTTGAGAATTGTTTTGTAGACCAGCATGTGATCTATCTTGATAAATATTCCATGTAAACCTGAAAAGAATGTGTGTCCTGCAGTTTTGGGGTATAGTGTTCTATATATACATTAACTAAGTTAAATTACTTGTTAGTGTTATTCAAATCTTTTAGCTCTTTACTGTTTTTTTATGTCTATTGTATCAGTTATTGAAAGGAGGTATTAACATTTTCACCTGTGGGGTTTTGGATTCGTCTGTTTCTCCCCTTCTGCTAATTTTTACTTTTTATATCTTAAAGCTTTATTTTTAGATACATATTTAGAATTGTTAGGTCTTCTCAATAACTTGGTCCTTCTATCATTATGAGATGACTCTATTTCTGGCAATATTCTTTGACTTGAAATCTGCTCCATTTGATATTAAAATTGTTACACCAGCTTTCTTCTGTGTATTTTTTACATGGTATATATTTTTTTCATCCTTTCTTTATCCTGTCTGTGTCTTTATATTTGAAAGAAACCTTTTGTAGACCTTGGGTTTTTTAATGTAGTCTTAACATGTCTGCCTTTTAATTGGAGTATTTCTTTTTTATTTTTTTATTTTAATTTTTTTTTTGAGACAGAGTCTCACTCTGTCGCCCAGATTGGAGTGCAGTGGTGTGACCTCGGCTCATGGCAACCTCCACCTCCTGGGTTCAAGCAATTCTCCTGCCTCAGCCTCCCGAGTAGCTGGGACTACAGGCTCGCGCCACTATTGCCTGGCTAATTTTTGTATTTTTAGTAGAGACGGGGTTTCACCATGTTGGCCAGACTGGTCTTGAACTCCTGACCTCATGATCCACCTGCCTTGGCCCCCCAAAGTGCTGGGATTACAGGCATGAGCCACCACACCTGGCCTTTTTTTTTTTTTTTTTTTTTTTTTTTTTGAGACAGAGTCTTATTCTGTCACCCAGGCTGGAGTGCAGTGGCGTGATCTCGGCTCACTGCAACCTCTGCCTCCCGGGTTCAAGTGATTCTCCTGCCTCAGCCTCCCAAATAGCTGGGACTATAGGCGCACACCACCACACCTGGCTATTTTTTATATTTTTAGTAGAGATGGGGTTTTGCCATATTGGCCAGGCTGGTCTCAAACTCCTGACCTCAAGTGATCCACCTGCCTTGGCCTCCCAAAGTGCTGGGCTTACAGGCATGAGCCACCACACCTGGCCTTAATTGGAGTATTTCATTTATTTATACATTTAATATAAATAATAAGCTTACTGGGTTTAAGCCCTACAGTCTTTCTATTCATATTTTTGGTTTGGGTTTTTTTTTTTTATTCCTTTGTCCTTTTCTTCCTGTATTCTTTCAGTTTATTAAAGTATTTTTTAGTTTACCATTTTCTCTTCTGTTGGTGTGTTAGCTATATTTCTTTGTATATTTTAGTCATTTATACACTAAAAATACACCGTTAACTTATCACAGCCTACCGTGAATTAATATTATAATGCTTCCTGTATAAACAGTGTAATTATCTGTGTACCTTCTATTTATCTTTGTGCTGTCATATTCACACACTTTCAGTCTTCGTATTTTATGAATTCCACAATACATTGTTATTACTTTGGCTTTTAATAGTCAACTAACTTTTAAAGAATTCAAGAAAAAAAGAAAAATTACCTTCCATCTTATTCTGTAGTTTTTCAATAAATGTAATAAATAATCATTTCCTCTAAAAAAAAAACCTATTTAAAATTACTTCCTCCAAATAAGCCATCAGAGTGACCATATCCAGCCTATAGGCAGAGGACATTGAAATTGGCAGTCATCAAGAAAAGAAAATGATATCTACATGACATCCAGGTGCCTCTGTCTGCCCTGTGGACTTCATTCACAGTGGCCCCTCACACACTTTTATGGGATCATCAGCTGCAGCCCTTCAAGGGTTATAATGCAGAAATTCTTAGTAGGCCTCATACAGATTATAAAAACTGAGGCTCAGAGTGATTAATTGACTTTGCCGAGGGCACACAGCTGGCTTCTAGAGGAGTGAGGGCTCAACATAGGTCCTCATTTTCACATTATGGCACCAAAAGTGAAAAAAGTTCTTGCCCCTCCCAAAGCTGAAGCCAAAGCGAATGCTTTGAAGGCCAGGAAGGCAGTGCTTAAAGGTGTCCACAGCCACAAAAAGAAGATCCAATCCACACATCACCCACCTGCCAGTGGCCCAAGACAGTGTGGCTCTGCAGGCAGCAGAAATATGCTTGGAAGAGCACTCCCAGGAGAAACAAGCTTGACCAATAATTCATCATCAGGTTCCCCCAACCACTGAGTCAGCCATGAAGAAGATAGAAGACAACAACACAACTTGTGTCCATTGTGGATGTCAAAGCCAACAAGCACCAGATCAAACAGGCTGTGAAGAAGCTCAGTGACACTGCTGTGGCCAAAGCCAACACCCTGATCAGGCCTGATGGAGAGAAGAAGGCATATTGGGATCATCTAAACTGAATCCAGCTAGTTGATTCTATGTATATGTCTTTTCACCATTTAAAACCAAAACAAAAGCATAGGTCCTCTGACCCTTCTGCACATCCACACCCAGGCAGACAGAAACAGTTCCATACTCTTTTCACCATGTGTCTGAGGCTCTCTTCTCATACAGAGAGGAAATGCATGAGGCAATGAAGAGCACTGACCATAAAGTCAAGACATAGCTGGGTTTAAACCTGTCTCTGCCACTCACAGGCTATGTGACTTTGGGCAAATTCCTAATTTCCCTGGGTCTTTGTTTCCTTGTCTATAAAATGGTGAAGCCTACTTGAGAGGGTTATGATGGGTATCACATGGGGTGTATGATTTTCTGTGTTGCTAATTTTAAAAATATCATAAGTTAACCCTTTTAAAACGCCACTAATTATTAATCTCACAGTTTCTGTGGGTTAGGAGTCCCACTCAAGATGCCTGGGTTCTCAGTTCGGGGTTTTAGGCAACTAAAATCAAGGCTTTGTCTGGGTCTATGATCTCACCCCTGAGGCTTATGCTCCTCCTTCAAGCTCTTTCAGTATGTTGGCAGAGTTCAGTTCCTTGTGGTTGTAGGACTGAGGCCCCTGTTACCTTGCCGCTGTCAACTGGAGACCACCCTCAGCAACTAGAGGCTGCGTGCGTCCTCTGCCATGTGGTCCCCTCCATTTTCAAGCCAGTAGTGGTGCGTCAGATCCCTCTTATATTTTGAATCTCTGCCTTCCATATGTCTTCTGCTAGTCACAGATTTAAAGCCTCCCTGTCTTAAAGTCATCTGTGCCATATAACAAAACCTGTTTACCAGAATGAAATCCATCACATTCACAATCCTGGGGATTACACAGAAGGTGGAGAATCTTGGGGGTCACGTTAGAATTCTGCCTACTACGTGGGATAATGTCAGTGAATTGTCCAGCATAAGGTCTGGCATATGGTAAGAATTTGATCATTTTTAGCTATCAGCAGCAACATCCCTAGAGAAAAAGAGGAGATTTTTAAATTAAAAGCAGAGTCAATATTGATACCATCATATGTACCCCAGTAAACAGTCCCTTAACCTCGGTAACTTGGCTAGAGTTCCCAAAGTTTAAGGCCACCCCATTAATGGACTGTCATCCCCTGTGGTTGTATCTTCTTGGTACCAGCACAACCAGCTGAACCAACCTCATCTCAGCTGAACTCCCCACAAGAGAGATGAGGGAGTTTTCCAGGCCCAGGCCAACATAGCTCGGGTGATCAGAGCCCCCGAGAAGACAATAAAGTCAGTGCTGGTGAGCGACACAGGAATTGGGGACTGAGGTCACCAAGGCCTTCCATTCCGCACGAGCAAGCTCACCCGTCCCTCCTGGGCCTTTTCCTTATGGGGTTTAGAAGTAGAGCTGTGAAGAGAAAAGCAAATCATATAAATAACGTGGAATTATTGGATCCTTGAACCCTTTTGAAAAGTATCTTAAAGGGATTTGGTTTGTTTTTCCTTACAGAAGAGAGAGCAACAGAGATGGGGAGGAATCCAGCTCTGCCTGACATCCAGGCATCCTCTCCAAATTGCATAGGTCAGTGAGAACGTGTTATTTATTAGAACCTGACATCTGTTGCAGTGAAATGATAAGCTCCATTGAAAAGCCTGGCCATCAATTACTGCCAATACAGCCCTCATCCCAGAGGAAGCCACTCACCATCCTCTCAGCCTGTGCAGACCAGGCTGCACCAGGCACGGAGTGTTTACAGCCCAGCTCAGTCTCCTGGCTCCCCTGGGGGAGGGGCAGCAGGTAAATCCCTTCTGCAGGTCCCCTCAGGCCATCTCTCCCCAGGCCCTCCATCTGTATTCCTTTGGTTCCACTGGAAGCTTCTCTGAGAGCAGTTTTAAAGACTGCACCCCCTGTTTATCCTGCTTTCTCAGTGGAAAACAGTTAGGGCTTTTGTTCTGGCCTCAGTCACACAAGCCAGAAGAAGCTGCACTGAACTCAGCTTATCAGGATAGTCACACAGAAAGAGTAACTGGGCTGGGCGTGGTGGCTCACACCTGTAATCCCAGCACTTTGGGAGGCCGAGGCAGGTGGATCACCTGAGGTCAGGAATTCAAGACCAACCTGGGAAACATGGTGAAACCCTGTCTCTACTAAAAATACAAAAATTAGCCAGGCATGATGGCGGGCGTCTGTAATCCCAGCTACTTAGGAGACTGAGGCAGGAGGATCACTTGAACCGGGGAGGCAGAGGTTGCAGTGAGCCAAGATCGTGCCACTGCACTCCTGCCAGGGTGACAGAGCAAGACCCCGTCTCAAAAATAAAAATAAAGAAAAAAAGAGTAACTGGAAGGTCAGCACATCTTTGTCAGGAAAATTAACTCAGGTGTGCCCTTTCAAGAACAATTGAGTGGGCTGGGCGCGGTGGCTCACGCCTGTAATCCCAGCACTTTGGGAGGCCGAGGCAGGCGGATCACAAGGTCAGGAGATCAAGACCATCCTGGCTAACATGGTGAAACCCTGCCTCTACTAAAAATACAAAAAATTAGCCGAGTGTGGTGGTGGGCACCTGTAGTCCCAGGTACTTGGGAGGCTGAGGCAGGAGAATGGCGTGAACCCGGGAGGCGGAGCTTGCAGTGAGCCGAGATCGCGCCACTGCACTCCAGCCTAGGCGACAGAATGAGACCCTGTCTCAAAAAAAAAAAAAAAAAAAGAACAATCGAGTGTTCAAGCTTGGGTTCCAATTACCCCGCCAGCCACTGGGGAAGTGTTTGGGATCACCAAGGAGAGCAACTTCCTTGCTTGTGAGTTAGGGTCACGTATTCTCTTTCCTGGAAAAATAGACAGGTGTCCTATAGAGTTAGAAAGGAAAGGGTAGAGGAGCTGGTTTGGGATTTTTATGATAAACCATAGTAGGAACATATGCTATTAATGGAATCAGAGTTCCTTTTGAACAGCTGGGGGAAGAAACGTACAGTAAGTCAAGAAAAAGCAAAGGATAGTGGCCTGGGAGTCAAGTGACCTGGGTCTCATCTAGGGACCATTATTAATTTCCTTCGTGATCATGGAAAAGACACGTCACCTTTCTGGACTTCAGTACCTTCCTCTGAAAGTACTGGGCTAGTACCCACCTGGTAATCACTAAGCTCTAATATATTTCTGGAATTTTAAGTGAAAATTGTTTAAGGTAGCTGAGCATACTTTTTTATTCATGTTGAGAAACTTCCATCTCTGTTGCCGGAGGTCAGACACAAATTGAAAACATTACTAAATGGAATTAAGTACACCGTGTACGTGATGCCTTTTTGTACAGCTCGTATCTGATATTTATAGAACACTTCAGTTGCAGAACGTGCACACATATGCCCTGAACACACACCCAATAAAATAATTCTAGATGCAATACATTTTCAGATGTCAAGTTAAAACAGCTTCTTAGGAATTAGGCTTGACTGTTCAGATGTGTGTGTTAGTTTATGACAGGTGCCGCCAGGGCTGCTCAGGGCTGTCATGAGTGATGTGGAGTCCAGCCAAGGCAGGAGGGCCAAGCCGCTTGTTTCTATCACTTCTCATTAAGGCATGAATTCTAGAAAAAAGGGAAGCATCAAAGAACCATCAGGATTGTCCATTGTGTGCATATCATAATGACAAGCAGAGGCCTTGCTTCTGCAGAAACAAGATTCTGTCTTGTCTTTTGTCAGATCATTCAGCACAAGGGCCACCTGTGAAAATGAACTAGATTCATGCCTTATTAAAGTAGAGGATTTACAGAGGTGAGCAAAAATGGGAAGCAGGTACCATCCAGCTCATTATATACAGAGTATGTACAAAGCACTGGAGACTACCACACACACGTATTTTGAAGAGCCCCAACTCAAAGCCTACTGATTGATTTCTGGAATGGTCTGTCACTCCTTGAGATTCCATTCTGACAATGAGGCTATCTATGGCATTAACTACTCAGAAGACTGAGTACAACTCAGAATTACAAAGCAGGAAGTTACGTAGTTCTTCTAAAAATCAAAACCAAAATTTAGAAAACTCACTGGGGCAGTTACCTCTACTCCACTGTCCTGCAAAATCCACAACCAACAGCAGAGATAAGTTGGGTGACTAAGTAGGAATGCATCCTGGGAAGTTAAGTGTGACAGTGGGGGCCAGTCACAGAACATGGAACATGGAAGGAACTTTAGAGATCATCTAGTACTGCCAGGTCTAAATATGGTAAGCATTAACTATTGTGATAGACATTCAATGAAATAATCGATATAGACCTTTAAGCACAGTGATTGGCATAGAGTTGACTTTCAGTTCATCATTTTCATTTCCTAGAAGAATTTGTGCAAGGCATACAGTATCAAGATTAGAACCCTATGCCCCTGATTACTGGTCCAAAGCCCAGCCCAAGCCACCTCTGACCTCCTACGTTTCCCCTCTTTCCTGCTCCCTTGCTCACAGGAGCAGCACAGAATCATCAAGGGCAGGAGTTTAGCCTGCACCACGTACACATCCACCTACCCGTGGAGTGGCCTGGCATGGGTGCCTTCTTCCTAGTGGCTCACCCAGGAGGCTGAAGGCCTCTGTGCCCATGGGGAAAACCCAGGGTGTTTGTGAGCAGAAATAACCCTGCTGAGAGTCTAAAAACCAAGTACTTTTAAGAGAAGGTAACATGCTTCTGTGGCCAAACTTATTACTAGCGTCTATGGGCAAAAGAGAAGAAGGAGTATTGTAATGGAATGCGCCAAAGGAAAGACATCACTTTACTGCTATCTCCAAAGCAGCAGGGAGGCTGCACATTGAGAAGAGGATAGAAAATTCCAGTGACTCCTATTTTCCCAGACAGACAGAACCTCTGGCACTTAGTCATGCCTAATGGAAAATCGAAGCCAAGAAAGCAGAAATGGGGTGGGGGTGAGCTAGGGTAGTCTGTAATCCAAAGTCACTTCTGAGGAAAAAAAGTAGTTTGTTTGTCTCCTTGTGTGCCATGAGTGGGCAGGGCTGAGTTGCCAGGTAGCGGGGCCTTGACACTCGGAAGAACAGCCTTTAGAGCAGCCATGATTGTGAGAATTGGGCAGAACAGTGGTTTCCTAGTTGATCCAGAAGCAACTAGTAAGCCTACAGTCTGTGTGTAGCTGCAGTTAAGTTACTGCTAAATCTCTTCAGCAAACGTGTAAGAGCTCACTATATGCAGAATATGTACAAAGCACTGAAGACTAACACACACACATTTTGAAGAGCACCAACTCAAAGCCTACTGATTGATTTCTGGAATGGTCCATCGCTGCTTGAGATTACATTCTGACAGTGAGGCTGTCCACGGCATTAACTACTCAGCAGACTGAGTACAGTCCGAATTGCAAAGCAGGAAGCTATGTAGTTCTTCTAACAATCAAAATCAAAATGTAGAAAACCCCAGTTTTGCATTATTGATCATTTGGGAGACTGGATAATCCTTAAACTGTCATTATTCCAGGTATCCAGAAAAGTGAGCATTACAGGAACGTGCATATAAGGGCAAGATCACGTATTTTCTCAGAATAAACAATGGGTCACCCAGTGCCTCCTAATCACCTTACAGACAATAAGAATTGTAAAATGTATTGAATAATTATAGTACACCAGCATAGCTCTAAGTGCTTTATGTTTTTTAATTTCTGTAATTCTCGTAACAACCTTATGAGCTAGGTACTGCTATTACACCTATTTTACGGGTTATGAAATTGAGACCCTGCAAAAGGAAGGGACGTATTCAAGGTCACAGAGTCACTTAGTGTAGGAACTGAGCATATACCTTGGCTTTCCCAACTTTTAGATTGGTTTCATACTGCACCACCTCTTTTCCTCAGATTAAGGTCTGAGTTATCCCAAATTCACCAGGCAGCTGAGCTCAGCTCTCTGTTTAGAACTGCAGGGTCTAGGCTGTTTGCCTTGGTTGACACTCAGGTTTGGCATGCCCCAGTGTGGATTTGTAGTGGCTAACATTTAATTAGATTTTGCCCAGATCACTAGCCTAGATCACTTTTCCCATTCATTCATTCAGCAGATGTTTATTGAATTCAAACTAGGTGTTAGGTACGATGTTAAGTGATGTGTAAGATACAGTCCCTGCTTTCGGTGAACTAGAGGAGGGATGAGAATTGCACATAGATTCTTCTCTTTAAGGTGGCAACGTGCAGGGAAAGAGCACTAGGAGTCGAGGAAAGAAGATTATGTCTGTTTACTGGGACCCAGGAAGCTGAAATTGGAGGCTGGGTAGGATTTGATGTGCAGAGAGGGGAGGACACTCCTCCAGAGGAAACAGAGTGCACAAAGGCCCAGAAGATGGGAAGCATGGGGGTTCCAGGAGGTATGCCGGTGTCCACTGAAGACAAGAGCAGTAGATAAGGCAGGAAAGAAAAGAAAAGAGAAAAGAAGGAAGGTGGGGAGGGAGGGAAAAGAAAGAAAGGAAAGAGAGAAGGAGAGAGAGAGAAGAAAGAAAGGGAAGGGGAGGGGAGGGGAAAGGGGGGAGGGAAGGAAGGAAGGAGAGGAGAGGGGAGAGGAGGGGAAAAGGGGAAGGGAAGGGAGAGAAGGAGAGGGGAGGAGATATGCAGGGTACAGAGAACATGCCCTCTGGAATCAGACCAGCTGGAATTCAAGTCCTTGTTCAACCACTGTCTAGTAGAGTTTTTTGTTTGTTTGTTTGTTTGTTTGTTTTTAAATCTCTGTGGGCCTTGGCTTTCTCACAGAGGATTGTGAGTGTTAAATGCTGAAATGATTGTAAAATGCCTGGCACATTGTTGGTGTTCACCATGCTAAAACATTTTATCTTTTTTTTTTCTGTAGGCAGTAAGGTATTTCTTTGTGTGTGTGGTTCTTTTTTCTTTTCTTTTCTTTTCTTTTCTTTTCTTTTCTTTTCTTTTCTTTTCTTTTCTTTTCTTTTCGAGACAGAGTCTCACTCTGTTGCCAGGCTGGAGTACAGTGGCACAATCATAGCTCACTGCAGACTTGAATTCCTGGGCTCAAGCAATCCTCCCACCTCAGCCTCCCAAGTAACCAGGATTACAGGTCCATGCAACAGCACTGGGCTGATTTTTTATTTATTTATTTATTTATTTTTTATTTTTTTTTTTAGAGGTGGAGTCTCACTATGTTGCCCAGGCTGGTCTTTAACTCCTGGGCTCAATCAATCCTCCCATCTTGACCTCACAAAGTGCAGGGATTACAGGCATAAGCCGCCTCACCCAGCCAGGTTTTTTGTCAGTTTACAAATTACATATTGGTATAATGATCTGCTTTGGTGTTGATATGTAAATCATAATAGATCCTTCTTGGCCTTGGAAATATTAATAAACACAGTCAAAAACTAAGGGTCATGCTCATGGAACACTATAAAGGAATGTTTGGCTTGGGTTCTTTCACCCCTTCTTTGCCGCCTCCATGTCCAGGGCTTTTAGAGACCCCACTCTGGATCTTCAGAGTTAGGATTGCCAGATTTAGCAATTAAAAATGCAACATGTCCAGTTACACTTAAATTTCAAATAAACAACAAATAATTTAGTGTAAGTATGCCCCATGCAGTATTGAGGACATACTTATACTAAAAAGTCATTTATCTGACATTCAGATTTAACAAGGCATCCTGTATTGAGGAGCAGGTCAGGAATCAGCCAGAACAAACCTGTTCCCCATATTTGGGGAAGGAGGCTCACCTGCCTGCTAGCCTTGTCTCTCGGGTGATAAAGGCTCCACGCAGCAGGCTTTGAGCAGGGCCTTCAAATCACTTCCTGGGTAGAGACATCAAATCTAATGGGTCCCACTGTGCATGTTTGGGAGTGGGAGTGGGAGTGGAAATGGGGGTGGGAGTGGGGGTGGGGGTGGGGGTGGGGGTGGGGGTGGGAGTCGGGGGTGAAGCAAGGAAGAATGTCTTACCCCAGCCTTCACATATCCTCAGCCCCCTCTGTCTGGGCAAGAACACACATCAGCCTTTCCCTCCTCCAACTTAAAGGCCTTATGGGGGATTTTCTTTGCTTTCTTCAGAACATTCCCACAGTCAATTGGTAGAATGAAGACAGCCTTTGTGGTCTGATAACATGTCTCATAGAATACGAGCACGTCTCAGGGCAGAGCATCCTCTTCAAGTTTCTTCCAGGAACATTGCTCACAGCGGGAACTTGAGTTGTCCCTTGTGGGGAGATGCGTGTGTGAGTGACTTGACACAGCCACCCACACGTGATGGGAACAGATTCAGTGCACTGTGCCCTGGCAATCCAAGGATCATGGATATCGAAGCCAGAAAGATAATCTCGCTGCTTCACTTTAGAAATGAAACAAGGGAGAATTCTGCCCAAGGTCACAGATTTTGAGTCTGAATTCAGGTCTAGGTGTCTGTCTACTACTTTGGGCTCTCCAGTAATAGCTCAGGGGATCTGAGTATTCTTGGCACCCTTGTTGGTTGGTTTCTGGGCATTTTCACTGGATTACCTGATGAGTATCCCCCAGACCCCCACTTGGCTGCATGTCCTTCGGCACTGCCGTGCTCAGCTTTATGCTTTGACCCTCCTCTCCTAACAGCGAGCAGGACCACTGCTGCTAGGAGCTAATGGCACTTTCTCTACCAGCCGGCTCATGGCCGTCCCCATTAGTGCCTCCTCACTGCTTTCTTTGCCCCACCCTGACTAAGCGTCCTGCGGTTGAGATGGAAAAATCCAACTCAGAGCAGATAGCTTTTCACCTTGGTTTCAGGGGAATAATTCATCCACATAACATGAGGTAAAAATTAAAACAAAGCAGGGCGTAGGTTCAAGCAGAATAGCACCCTTGGGCTTAAGAGTGACTTTGACCTATTCCTCCCAGACTAGAAAAATTATCTGGCTGCCAGAGAGTTCTTAGAGGAATCACTTTGTTCAATGGTGTCACTGGCAAGGTGGTATTAACCCTAAGACCAGCTTCATCTGAACACTGAAGGCAAACCTGACTGTGCAGGCAGGGCCAGCCCACATGGAAGCCCAGGGCAGCGATCATGGGATCTTCCACTCTTTTTATTTTCTTATTCTTGCCACAACCTGTCATGAGACCAAGAAAACTTGTTTTGAAAATGCTTGACAGCCAAAACAACCTGTTCTCAGCCCTGGATGAGAGGGCTTGTCCTCTCTGACCACTTACGTACTGTTAGAGGTTTGACTAGCTGCTGACTGGAAAACATGAATTTGCTGTTTTCTTCTCATATTGTTCACAGACAAGTGCCAGTGGCTTTCCAGTTCCTGTTTCTCCCCTTTTCCCAGCCTTTTCTTCACCAGAGACGTTTTAAGATTGTGCCTGAGTCTAACTGATGAATGAACACTAGCAGCATACACTTAAGAGGCTGTAACCGATGGTTATATCTCTGCAGGCTGAGCTTGATATGTAGGTTGTCTTTCCAATCCCATTTGATTTTAACCTGTAGATTTAAACTGTGGATAGATTTTAACTCCTGATTTTCCACCTGCTTTTTGGTCCTCTCTGGTGAAGTTGGACGTGTTAGTCAATCTCTAGTTATCCAAGCAGCGATTTTGGCCTCTGCCTTGGTGGCCCTGAGGCCGGCAGTAGTATCTCTGTTCCTCCCACCAAGCCTTGCAAGTCGGGTCTTGGTCTTGGGTGGACCTCCAAATGACCCTGACTGTGAAGGAGCGACCTCATCTCTTCTCCTCTGTACAAGGAAGGGCTGGACTAGATAAGGGTTGGGCAAACAACAGCCTGAGGGCAAAGCTATCCAGCTGCCTGTTTTTATAAATAAAGTTTTATTGGAACACAGCCATACCCTTTGATTTACATATCATGTATGGCTGTTATCACTCCAAGGCCAGAGTTGAATTGTTATAATAGAATACAGGTATGGTCTTGGAAGCTGCAAATATTGATTATCTGGTCCTTTACAGAAAGAGTTTGCTGATCCCTGAACTAGATAATCTCTAGGGTTTTCAAATCCAGCGTTCTATGACTCTTGAACTTGAGGCAATTCTTGAATAGAAAGAGCTCCTGGAATAGGGGCTAACTGGAAAGGGCCTCTTTCCATCCTGTAGTAGTTAGCAAAACAAAGCATGCTTTGAGATTGTTGAACTTTACAAAGGGCGGGGCTTATTTTGCCGTGTTTTTACGGAGTTGATTTTGCTGTGTGTCTGTATTTGTTTATTGGTCTAATGGCTCTGGTATGCATGGTGTCCCCCAGTTTTGGAGAAAAGATATCCCAGCTGTGTAGGCATGGTTTAATCTGACTGTCTTCAGTGGCATGGTTTGAGGTGGGACACCCATTTGTGCCCACCTGGAAGAGAATGCTGATTCGTCTGCTTAATAAACATGGCAGGAAAGGGAGCCAAATGCTGTCCTGGAGAACCTGTAGGGCTGCCCAAACTCCACCTCACCCCTGGGCTGTCTGTGTTTGCCTTCCTTTCTGAGCCTAAGCAATGGGATGGAAAAGATTAACTCTAAGCGGTGGGGCAGTGCAGTAGGCTGTGGCCAGGAGAACAAGAATGGGTTCTGAAGATGCCTTTAAAAATGCAAATTAGGAAGGAAGAAATCTTCACTTTCTTACTCCAAAGCCCATCCAAACAAGGTTCTAATTTATAGAATTGCGTCCCAGTGAAGTTCCCCATGCCCATGTTAGTGCACCAGATGTGTAATAGGGAACCCAACACACAGAACTGAATGGACTTCTCAGGGTCACCTTGGCCAGTAAGAACCTTTGTGCAAACAAAGAAAAGGCTCCCCCTTTGGGTTGGTGCAGAGTTAGCTTTAGGTAAAGTAGAAGCTGTCCCTTTGTCTGGGCCTCTGTCCCTGAGTGAGCACACAGCTTAGCACGCAGAGCACAGGCTCAATTTCAGCCCCCGTTTGCTCTCTTGGCCTGATGCCTTTGTGCGGGGCAGAAGCTGCACTTCCAAATGCACAGCTCCCTGCGCCTCTTGTACCTGGCATGTTAGAAGTCTGTGGGGTTCCCTCAGGGTTCTAGCTGGACAACAACAGGTTAACTCTGCTTGGCCTTGGTCTTTGAGGACACAGCGGACTAGGCTAGCCACCAGCACACCTCTTCATCCCTGTCTCCTTCAGCAACACTGCAAGGCAAGTGTGGCTGGTGTCAGGGCTGAAGGATCGGTGCCCCATGCTGGGAGCAGAGAGTTGGTCCTCTGGCCGCAGACGCTGTAGGCCCTGCCCTAGGCCAGGTGCTTATGCAGGAGAGCCCAAGCCTTGGCTCCTCCTGCCAGCTTCAGCTCAGCTCAAGGAGTGCACATGATTTTCCACACAGTTCAACCTCAAAGGCAATACACTTGCAGCACAGAGAAATGTGCTCAGAGGTCCAGAATAGACAGGCTCACGGTGGGGGAAGTGACCTCACTCCCGAGGCACTGGGTTCCCCACTGCGCAGTGTGTGCTGTGGCGGCATTCCACCGGGACACCCACCCTCGGCAGGGAGTGTTGTCAGAATGGCCTGGAGAAGACTGTGATGAACTCTGTGGGTGCTGCAGTGTTGTGGTCAGATCCGATTTCCACCACTCAATTCATGCTGGAAATTGTATTTGAGCCAGCCATATGGGCAAACTTTGAAAGACTCCTGTCCTACCCTTTTAATTCTGCATCTATCAGCGGTTCCCAGCAGCTCAGAGGCTAGAGGAGTGGGAAGAAAGAGGCAGCGAGCCGACAGCAGCCCAGGACCCAGTGTCTGCTTCCTGTCCCCTTACTTGGTTTTAAGAGCCTACTGGGAACAAGAAGGAATGAAGTTTGTTCCTGTTGTGAGACCCAAATGTGCAGAGCACCATGCTAAGGAAAAGTTAGAGTCCTGCGCCCATCGCTTCTTCTCTGTGACCTAGAAGGATGTGACAGGAAGGTAAAGGACAGTACCTGCATGTCAGCGCTGTCGCACACTCTGAGAAGGGCAGTGGGAGCCCAGTGAAGTCAACCTGGAAACATCTGTGCACATCAGGGCAGGACGGGGGCCCAGGGCCTGAGAGAAAGAAACCCGACTGCTGGCAGATGTCTCCAATTTCATTACTACTCCACGTTGCCAGGCCCATGGTGATGTCCTCACATTTAGCTGCAGCCTGCCGTGGCCAGGCATAGGTTGGCAGCA
Organism: Homo sapiens; assembly: GCF_000001405.40. Lineage (NCBI taxonomy): Eukaryota > Metazoa > Chordata > Mammalia > Primates > Hominidae > Homo > Homo sapiens. The sequence continues at coordinate 28,320,643 of NC_000002.12, forward strand.
TCACTCAGCGGGGTGCCTTCTAGTGGAACATGGGTGCACCCAGAGCCTTGCCCTTCCTGCTCAGCCTTAGCCCTCAGTGGCTGCAGAAGGCAGGAAGACCCTCCAGGGCTGGCAGTGTGCTGTCATCAGGACACGGGCTTGCAGCTTCCAAGTCCCGCTCTGCCTTTATCATGTGCCTGGCCTTGGTCAAGTTACTCCTCTCCAAGCCTGCTCCTTCATGTATATGGGGGGAGTAGAGTAATGGGATCGATTTCATACACATGATTGTTGCTTGGATTAAAATGAGGTTATTTTGAAAGCACATTATAAACTATAAAATAAGAAGTATCAAGTTAGTTAATTCACTTATTCAACAAATGTTATATATATACCTATTGGTACCAGACACTAGTTGGACAGTGTTCCCAGGAGGTCCAGGCCCTTGTCAATAAGAGCTGTTCAATAACTGTTTGTTGAGTTAACGTGAAACAGGAGGTCCTCAATGTGTGTGTGTCCGTAGCTGTATGATGGCAGTGGAGGGGTGGGCAGGAAGGAAACCAAGGCTTGAGTTCTTACCATGTGCCTGGCACTGTTGCCTCATAACAACTGGTCACTGGAGAGAAACAGAGACTTGGGGGCTTTTCCAGACACACAGCTAGTAAGTAATAGATCCACATTTAAATTCAGTTTTCTCTTACTCGAAAATCCATGTTCTTCCCACTTAATCAGATAGGGAATGATTGCCACGTGTTCCTCTTGCCACAGAATGACACCAGGAGGTTCCATCTCTAACCCATGTTTCTTTTCCCAAGCATCCCTCAGATCTATGACCCAGGCCAAACCCAAGCCAAAAATGATCACCCCTGATTCTAGGCCAGAAAATAGGAATCGTGTGAAATCTAAGCAGAATGAGGCTGTGTCACCACTAGCCAAACCTCTTGTTCATACTGCGCAGGTTTTAGGAAAACAACAGCCTTTAATGCATGCTCGAAATTCCTTCCATGGTAAGCCACTGTGAGAAAAATCTCACCCAAACAATGTGCTCTTGGCAGAGGGAGGGCCGGTGTCTTTTCAGGCAAAAAGCAAACCAGCAGGGACCCAGAAATCACTCTAGGGAGTGTTGGTTTCCCCAGAAGATCTAGCTTTTTAAAAATAAACTTAGCAAAGGATTTCATTTGCCCCTCTGCCCCACCTTTGCCTCTCACTGCTTGGAGAGGAGGAGGATTGTGGAGTTCCTTGTCCCGGGTCAGTTCCCAGCTCAGCATTGATACATCTGCTTCTCAAGTTTAGCACCAAATATTTATTCTGATAAAGTGAGTTTAAAAAAAAAAAAAACTAGATCGATTATTGTCTGGCTTGGTCTCCAAAAACAAGTCCCTGCAATTGACAGTGGTTGCATGAACTTAAGAATAATAGATCCTTAGGAAGGAAGGCTGTTCATTCAGTCATTCAACAGAAAATTAGGGTACTTCTGTGTCACTGAGGTGCAGCCCCAGTGAAATGAACTCAGAAGCCTCCAGTGTTTATACCACTGAGACTGGGGCAGAGTAGTCTGGAGTGCTGCATGTAAAGCTAGGCACTCCCCAGTGATGGAGCTTCCAGCTGCCCCTACCATTCGGTGCACAAGTGTCCCTGAACTTCGGTGAAGTATGAGCCACCAAGCTCCGCCCAAGGGTGACCACAGAAGTAGACAACTTACGAACCAGAAACATCAACCAGCAACCCCAGACAGTTTATGTAAGATTGCTTCATTCCAGAGAGCAGAACTGGGATCCATGGGCAGAAGTTTCAAGGGGACAGATTCCAGTTCGGGAGAGAGAAGAACCCTGTAACTCTTAGAGGCGCCTTTGAGCAACGCGCTCTCAAGGTGTTCCAGCAGGGTGAGGATCACCCCCCAGAAGTGCTGCTGGGCCAAGCCCTGCCTTGAACAAGATCCTGAGGTCTCGCCCAACAGCAAGGTTCTCTGGTTAGCACCAAATGAGTGGCTCAACAGTTCGTGTTGTGGAGCTTCAGAGGCAGGACAAGCAGTCATGGGCTGTGGTTGGCGGCCGCAGGCCCCGATGCTTAGGCCAGGCCTTGAGGGTGGGTAGGTGTCAGGTAGGTGGGAGACCCCCAGCATGTTGCAGGCCCAGGAAAGCACCCTTCACCTGCAGAGTAAAGGGGCTCCTGCTTAGCTGACTGCCAGACTTGCAAAGGGGAATTAATTATTGTTTGTGATACAATTAAAATCCCCCAATGAAAGGCCTTGTATAAATGTAAATTATCATTATTGTCATTAAAGGGGCTAGACGTCTGGCCTGCTGGATAATATCCCCACATACCTCTGAGCAGAAAAGAAAGCCAGCCCAAGGCAGGAATTTTGCTCCTGCTCTTCCAAAGCAATAGCAGTAAGAAGCGGCAGGCCAAGGAGGGCTCTGCCCGTGGCTGTGAAAGCAGAGCCCCCCACTCTCATCCAGGGTGAGCACGCAGCTCTCTCTGCTCTGGGAGTCAAGTGACTGTGTGTCCCCTGAGGGCCAGGGCCCTGCCCAAATGCAGTCCCTTACCCCTGCAGGAACCAGCCCATTACTAGCACAGGAGTGGCCCATGAGTGTGTGAATATTTAGTTGTCTGCTGATTTGAAGGGTGGAAGGAACATGAGCAGGATGGATACTGGCCAGCATTCTTGAGGTCCTAAGTCAGATCTGGAGACAAAGGGGAGATAGACGGCTCAGACCCGTGCAGCACCTCTGATGATGCTTGTGAAGGCTCTTGCCTCTTAACCCCTCTAGCTAAGCGCTGGGAGAGGTCATTTGTTACATTACTGCTTCCACTTAAGAAACTGTCTCTGGCTAAGTGGTTGGATTAATACCAAAGCAGAAATAATAATAATGGATAATAGTATATTAGACTGAGCAGTGACCTCAGAAACCATCCCCTCACTTTGCAGATGAGGCATCTCTGGGGTACAGAGAGGTGAAGTGGCTTCTCCAAAGCAGCGTAGCAGAGAAAAGCAGAGCTGGAATCACAGCTAAAGCTCCCGTGCCAAGTCCACAGTTTGACTATGCGGGATGATGTTACCTCCCCTGTGACAGCAAGTCACAGAGATATTGCCCCTCATCAACCCTAGGGAGTTTTAAGATGACCTTTATGTTACAGGAACCTTCTGGGCTTCCTTTGCTCTTCTGGGGCTCGTTATTTAGAGAACATTTGTGGTCCCTCACATGTCACCTAGGTGGACTGCACACACCCTCCTTCTTGAACTTCTTTTCCTTCCCCCAGACACTCAGAGTAGCCTGCATTCTTCATTAGGGTGCCCCAGCACTTCCAAGAACCACATGGGCCCGTGAGAGGGAGGTCAAGGTCATCCCTTTTGTCTCTTGTTATCATAGTCATAATTCTGCTGAAAAGCTACACGATGCAGATCCCAAGATGAGAGTGAACAGCACCAGTCAATACCTGTAGACACACAGAGCTACCAGAGGGAGGGCCATCTAGGGGGTTTTGTAGAACAAATGTAGGTGCAATGGGGGTTGGCAGTAAGTAGCCCTCGAAATTCATTACTGAGCTGTTGGCAGCTCTAGGAAAAGTTTAATGGAGGAGACTAAAATACAGCCACAATGAGGTTTGGGATGGGAGAGAACACGAAATCAAAAAATTTTAGAAATTATTTATCTTGCTCCCTTACTGCATAGATGAGAAAACAGAGCAGTGATTCACCACGATATAGCAGAGCCAGGGACAGAACCCAAGGCTCCCGACTCAGTGGACAGTACACTTGCCACTGGAAATCATGGTGGCATGGAAAGAATGTGCCCTTTGGAGTCAAGCAGCTCTGGATTCATAACTAGCATTGCCACCTATTAGCTGTGTGATCTTAGAAAAGTTACTTTGGGCCAGGCATGGTGGCTCACACCTATAATTTCAGAACTTTGGGAGGCTGAGGCAGGAGGATCACTTGAGCTCAGGAGTTTGAGACCAGCCTGGGCAACATAGTGAGACCCGTAACATAGCAAGACCCCATCTCTACAAAAAAAAAAAAAATTAATTAGCTGGGCGTGGTAGTGCACTCCTGTAGTCCTAGCTACTCGGGAGGCTGAGGCAGGAGGATCACTTGAGCCTTGGAGGTCGAGGCTGCAGTGAGCCAAGATTGCACCACCACACTCCAGCCTGGGTGACAGAGTGCAGACAGAGAGAGACCTTGTCTCAAGAAAGAAAAGAAAAGAAAACTTACTTTCCATCTCTGATCGTAGATTTATTTTTGGCAAAAATAGAATCACCTGCCTGGTAGTAAGCCTGTTAGAAGGAGTAAATATAAAATAATACACATGAAAATAAGTAGCATGATATCTGGCATGTAGTAGGCACCTCCCTTTCCTTATACTCATGGCTTCCAGACTTTTTTTTTTAACCACAATCTACAAGATATTTTACATTTGAATCCAGTATATATAACTAAAACAAAAGTGCCACATACAGTGCACTCTGATTTTATTTCACTTTATTTTAATGCTGCTCAGAACCCACTAAATGGATTTTGTGATCCACTGTTTGAACAAGCCTTCTTTACACCATGTGTGGATATCATTCATCCACGTTGCATATATGCCCTTCCTTTCCTTCCCTCCCTCCCTTTCTGTAACGGAAGCCTGGGGCCGCAGGGCTACCTGCTGTCAGCATGTGCAGGGCCCGAGCTGGTGCAGTGTGGAGTGATCCCTGCAGCCCAGCAGAGCAGATGCATCTCCTCCTCCTGTGCTTGCCCCCAGCCTCTCTACTGCATGATTACAGAAGACTTGTAAGGCCCCCTCCTGCCAGACGTTCTGTCATCTGCCAGCCTGCATGGAACTTCCCCACACCCTACCCCAGCAGAGCCCACCTGAAGTTCCTGTTGTGAGAATTACTCTTGTTACCAAAGGCCATTGTCTCCAGAAGGCCACTGTACCCCAGCAGGGAGAGTGGAGCTTGGACACCCTCTCCCATTGAGTAGTTTCTTCTTTGGGAATTGCTGCTTTTCTGTCTGAAAGCCCAGAGAGCCAGGTGTCTGCGGTGTGATTTCAGCTGTCAGGGGGATAAGGGTGAAGAGAGGAGGGACCATGGCCATCTTGCTGCCCCTCCCCCACATCCTCAAACACCCAGCCAGGGGGGTGAATGTCCCAGAGTGTTGGGTGACCAAAAGCTGTGTCCAAAAGCCAGCATGCAGGGGCCTGAGCACCTGTGGAAGCCATGAGCTCTGGCCTCTGGATGCTGAGATCTGGTGGAAGAAAGTGAACTTACAACCAGGCAAATAACACTTCAAAGCCCTAGAGAGACTCAGGGGAGGGGAAGGTTAGAGGCCTCAAGGAGTTGATCTCCTAAGTGTTCCTGAGGCCCTCCTTTGGGAGTCCTGCACTTTGCTGTGGAGGCTGATGCCTGACCATGCTGCGCACAAACCTCGGAGCACTGTTCCAGCTGGGGTGTGACTTGGGGCCTGGACCCACATTCCAGGTTCAGCTCTGCTGGGTCCCTGGGCACTTCCTCTTTCAGGGTCACCCTTTGGTTTTTCCCCTTTCGATGACTAAAAAGTGGAGGGTAATCTGTGAGCTTGGTGGTGACTCACCACCATCCGACAGGCGGCCCACTTTTCCCAGCAGGTGAGCTGCGTGAGTAGCCCTCCTCCTGGCCGGGACTGTGGTGAGCTCCCTGCACCCCACCCCAGGCAGCCACGTGGCCATCAGCACATCATGGTCTGTGCTGAGCGCCTGCTCTTGCAGCCCTGGGCAGAGTGAGCAGAGGACTCACCATCTGGGCACACCAGGCAGGTGCAGATGGGGAGACAAGATAAACCCAGGGCTGGGGCTCTTCTCTGGGTTCCCAGGCCCCAGGCAGCAGCACATTCCTTAGCCCCCCACACCCACCACCTGGCCTCGTTCCCAGCCCCAGCCCAGCCAGGTGCACCCATCTTCCCAGCCTCTCTCAGTGCCACACAGCCATTCCTGCCTCTCATCAAGCAGGTTATGATGGGCACGGCAGTCTGAGAGGGAGGGGGATGGAGAGGACTGGCTCACGCTCCGCCTACTAGCTCTGGGGCCTCAGGTCAACCCCCTGGGCAGGCAGGCATTCATTTAGCACCAAATTGACATTCATCTTCTGGGAGCTTCTGACAGGGTGAGCACCAAGGGCACTAAGGGTGAACCATCCCCAAATTCTGCCCTCTAGGCACTTACAGGGATGACCTATGCTAACGTGCCATTAGGATACGCAGTGTCACAGGAACCATCCTAACCTCCCGCCCTTAGTCTCCCCTTCCCCTTCCTTGTAATGTTTGACCTCGGCAGTTTCCTTTTTCCTTCTATTAATTACAACATTCTATCATTCTAAAGTATATCTTAAGTAAGCCAAATGCTTGCATTTGAGAAATATTTATTGAGCTGGTGAGTGTTGGACACTATGCTCCAGGCTGGGGATGCAAAGATGGATGAATACGACCCATGGGCTTTGCCCTCAGGGAGCTTCTTCCAGGGTGTGAGAGAATGGTTGGTATGTGTAGATGCGTGCATACATCTGTGATGAACGCCAGAGAAAGAAGCTGGTCCCATGGCCGGTGGAGGCTCAGGAGCCCATTAGGACTACCCTGTCCCTCCCTCCATTTAGCCAGCTGGCCCTCCCTTCTCCTCCTCCTTCTCATCTGCTGCACCAGGGGATGCCAAGGGAGCAGAGATGCCTGCAGCCCGTGGGAGCAAGTCCTGGCCTTTGCAGTTGCAAAAACTGGCTGCAAGCTGCTCCAGCCCCAGAGGAACTGGCCAAGCTCCAGAGGGCCTCCTTGGAGGGCCTCAGAGGGAGAGAGAACTGCTCAGTAATTTTGATCACTTTGGTAAGTATTTAAAAATACCCTGTGATTTAGCAGGAACCAGAATTCATCCCAATACTTTGATGTCTAGAAATGGATCTCAGTCAGTTGTTGTTGAAGTCCTCCTAAAACGGCATTTGATTTAATTCAACACATACTGAGACCACAGTCAGCCTTCTCACAGGCGAGGAGGCCGAGCTGTATAAATTGTAGTCTAGACACCAATCTAAATATCTCAAACGCAAGGCAGACATAGCCCAGCCTGAGGTTGGAGGCCCGGCATGCTGTGGAATCGAGTAGAGGGGAGATTGATTCCAGCTGAGGGCAAGGGCCTCTGCCTGAAGCTGTGAGCATGTGGTACTGTGTTCCCACTGCGATATCAAGCCTTTGCATCTCAAGTTTGTTAATTTCCTTGTTTTGCAAGCTTAGACCCCCTGAAAACAGACCAGGCATGCTCAGGGGTTGGCGCATTTAGCAAGATTGACTGTGTACATGAACCAGTTACAAGCACTTGTTTGTTCCTAAAGCCCACACCCGAGAGCCAGGCTGCCATCGCCCGGGGCATAATTACAAAACAAGCTCCCATCGTGCCAGTCACTCACTCACCAAGGCACCCAGAATTGGATGGCAGTTGTCACAGGGGCCTTTGGAGGGTTTGGGGTGAAGGACATTGAAACAGAAGCAGGTCTCTTTGTAGCCATCCTGTTGTGAGGATGACCCTTTGACACGAGGCCCTTTGACACGAGGCGAGTAACCCCAAGTGAGTCAGAATTTACAGTGGCGGTTCAGGACAATGAGGACAAGGCAAGACCACGAGGCATGATTAGCAGGACTTGTCTTACACTATTTACAGGACTGCTTTGATTTTCAGACCACAATCGGTTTTCATATGACTGATTAAAAACATGTGCCAGTTGAAGTCACAGCTGCAGAAGAAAACTGGAAAAAGCAGTGAGCCTTAGATGTTGGAACTTGCCTCTATTTGCAAAAATGACCTCTGACTTGATTTATGCCCTTGATTTCCTGACAGTGAGGGCTGTGTCCCTGAACCACTTCTCCTACCACACCCCACCCTACCACCACATTGGCCTGACTCTAGCAAACATCATGAGGCTCATCTTACAATTACCCAAAGAAAAGCATGTTTGAATTCCAGAATTCAAGTCCTGTTTTGGAAGAAGGCAACTGTTAGGCTCTTGCCAAATAAAAAGTTCCAAGTGAAGGAGGCTAACAGCAACAAGACCACAGGGTCTCGTCCACGGGGCCGGGCTCTAGTGGCACTGGGGTTGGAGTGACATTGGCAGGTATCTTAACTAAACTTGCTAAGCTTCTGTTTTCTCTCCTGCAAAATGGGGAGCATGACCCCTGCCACACCCAGTAGTGTTGTGAGCACCACCTTTGCAAAGCTTAACTGCCTTAGGTGCTCTCTCCCCGCTGCCAGTCCCCAACCTCTTTGGGTTGTATATTCTGTGTTTTGTTTTCATTTATTTAAAGCTATATTGATTCAGTTTGTCAGACGTCTATTTTATGGATTTTTATCCTTTTGAAAAGATCTATTGAATCAATAAAGCATTGTAATTCCAGTAGGAAAGAACCCTTTAGATGAGACTTCGTTGAACAAAGTTTCCTACTGGCCTCAACCCCAAGGCCTCTGAGCATTTCCCTGATAGCTCCCTGTCTTAACTTTCTTCAGTCTCCTGATTTCCCCTTCTCTAGAACCCAACCATTATGTCATTTTCCAGGCATTACCCCTGATAACTTATGCTTCCTGAGCTAGAGGGCAGAGGGGTGGCCGAGAGGAACAGGCCTTCATGTCCCCCGACAAAACTGTCTATGGCACTTTTTGCTCGGGGCTCTGCAGCGTTCACTAACCCTACCCCATTTGTATAAAACTATGCAGATGGAAACGATCCAATAATAACCCAACTACTCCCACCACCTTTGCAGCATTACCACCTCCTACTGAAACTTGCATTTGTGTGGGGCCCTGGGCTTGGTACTTGATACACATTTCCATTCTCCTCACAACCTCCTTGAAAAGAGGTGCTAGTCAATAAAAAATGATAAAGGGGCTATCACCACTGACCCCACAGAAATACAAACAACCATCAGAGAATACTATATAAACACCTCTGTGCAAATAAGCTAGAAAATCTAGATGAAATGGATAAATTCCTGGACACATACACCCTCCCAAGACTGAACCAGAAAGAAGTTGAATCCCTGAATAGACCAATAACAAGTTCTGAAATTGAGGCAGTAATAAATAGCCTACCAACCAAAAAAAGCCCAGGACCAGATGAATTTACAGCTGAATTCTACCAGAGGTACAAAGAGGATCTGGTACCGTTTCTTCTGAAACTATTCCAAACAATTGAAAAGGAGGGACTTCTCCCTAACTCACTTTATGAGACCAGCATTATCCTGATACCAAAACCTGGCAGAGATACAACAAAAAAAGAAAATGTCAGGCCAATACTCCTGATGAACATCAGTGTAAAAATCCTCAATAAAATACTGGCAGACTGAATCCAGCAGCACATCAAAAAGCTTATCCACCACAATCAAGTCAGCTTCATCCCCAGGATGCAAGGCTGGTTCAACATATGCAAATCAGTAAATGTAATTCATCACATAAACAGAAGTAAAGACAAAAACCACATGATTATCTCAATAGATGCAGAAAAGGCCTTCAATAAAATTCAACATTCCTTCATGTTAAAAACTCTCAATAAACTAGGTATTGGTGGAACATACCTCAAAATAATAAGAGCCATTTATGACAAACCCACAGCCAATATCATACCGAACAGGCAAAAGCTGGAAGCATTCCCCTTGAAAACCAGCACAAGACAAGGATGCCCTCTCTCACCACTCCTATTCAACATAGTATTGGAAGTTCTGGCCAGAGAAATAAGGCAAGAGAAAGAAATAAAGGGTATTCAATAGGAAGAGAGTTAATCAAATGGTCTGTGTTTGCAGATGCCATGATCTTATATCTAGAAAACCCCATTGTCTCAGCCCAAAAGCTTCTTAAGCTGACAAGCAACTTCAGCAAAGTCTCAGGATACAAAATCAATGTGCAAAAATCACAGGCATTCTTATACACCAACAGTAGACAAGCAGAGAGCCAAATCATGAATGAACTCCCATTCACAGTTGCTACAAAGAGAATGAAATACCTAGGAATACAACTTACAAGGTATGTGAAGGACCTCTTCAAGGAGAACTACAAACCACTGCTCAAGGAAGTCAGAGAGGACACAAACAAATGGAAAAACATTCCAAGCTCATGGATAGGAAGAATTAGTATCATGAAAATAGCCATACTTCCCAAAGCAATTTATAGATTCAATGCTTTTCCCATTAAACTACCATGGACATTCTTCACAGAATTTTTTTAAAAATTCTACATTAAAATTCATGTGGAACTAAAAAAGAGCCCGTATAGCCAAGACAATCCTAAGCAAAAAGAACAAAGTTGGAGGCATCACGTGACTTCAGACTTTACTACAGTAACCAAAACGGCATGGTACTGGTACAAAAACAGACACAAACCAGTGGAACAGGATAGACATCTCAGAAATAAGGCCGCACATCTACAACCATCTGATTTTCAACAAACCTGACAAAAACAAGCAGTGGGGAAAGGATTCCCTATTCAATAAATGGTGCTGGGAAAACTGGCTAGCCATACGCAGAAATTTGAAACTGGACCGTCTCCTTACACCTCATACAAAAATTAACTCAAGATGGATTAAAGACTTAAATATAAAACCAAAACTATAAAAACCCTAGAAGAAAATCTAGGCAATACCACTCAGGAAATAGGCACAGGCAAAGATTTCATGACAAAAACGTCAAAAGAATTGCAACAAAAGCAAAAATTGACAAATGGGATCTAATTAAACTAAAGAGCTTCTGCACAGCAAAAGAAACTGTCTTCAAAATGAACAGACAACCTACACAATGGGAGAAAAATTTTGCAATCTATCCATCTGACAAAGGTCTAATATCCAAAATCTACAAGGAACTTAAACAAATTTATAGGAAAAAAACAACTCCATTAAAAAGTGGGCAAAGGACATGAACAGACACTTCTCAAAAGAAGACATTTATGCAGCCAAGAAATATATGAAAAAATCTCAACATCACTGATCATTAGAGAAAACCCAAATCAAAACCACAATGAGATACCATCTCATGCCAATCAGAATGGCGATTATTAAAAAGTCAAGAAACAATAGATGCCAGCAAGGCTGTGGAGAAGTAGGAACGCTTTTACACTGTTGGTGGGAATGTAAATTAGTTTGGCCATTGTGGAAGACAGTATGGCAATTCCTCAAAGACCTAGAACCAGAAATATCATTTGACCCAGCAATCCCATTACTGGGCATATACCCAAAGGAATATAAATCATTCTGTTATAAAGATACATGCACGCATATGTTCACTGCAGCACTATTCACCATAGCAAAGACATGGAATCAACCCAGTCCATCAGTGATAGACTGGATAAAGAAAATGTGGTGCATATACACCATGGAATACTATGCAGCCATAAAAAGCAAGGAGATCATGTCTTTTGCAGGGACATGGATGGAGCTATAAGCCATTATCCTCAGCAAACTAACACCGGAACAGAAAACCAAACACATGTTGTCTCTTATAAGTGGGAGCTGAACAATGAGAACACATGGACACAGGGAGGGGAACATCACACACTGGGGCCTGTTGATCGGGGGGCATCAGGATAAATAGCTAATGCCTGCAGGGCTTAATACGTAGGCGCTGGGTTGAGAGGTGCAGCAAACCACCATGGCACACTTTTATTATGTAGTAAACCTAACGTCCTGCACGTGGATCCCGGAACTTTTTTTAAAAAAGAGAAAAAAGAGGTGCTAGTGTCTGAATTTAATAGATGAAGAATCAGGACACAAAAGGGTTAAGTGGCTTGCTCAAGATCACATGGATGATATCTCAGACCATAACTGGGTGGTCATAAGATCATTAAGTAGAAATCATCCTGTTACAGGTGAGGAAATGGAGTCCCAGTTCTGGATGACACAATGAGCCAGGGCCCGGGCTAGAGCTGTGAGTCCTGTGCCTCCTAGTGCAGTGCTCTTTCCACTTCCCCCACTGCCTCCCCTTGACGATGCATGTTGTCCTGGACAGAAGGAGAGCTGTTTGAGGACCAGGCCAACCAACACCCTGCTCTTGGCAGCCGGAGCCATGTGATTCCTAAATACCCTTCTAGGAAGAGCTGCAGCATCATCCCTGGTCAAGCCCTGACCAAAACTGCACACCACACACAAGGAGTACACCTGGTAGGTTTGGGGGCAGAAGACACGCAAGGGCTGGAGGTGCCTCTGGCTACAGAATTTGTCCTTTGATGCCACAAGGATGCCATGAGCAGCTCTAGACTGGATTGCAAAAGACACACAGTGTCCCATGACTTTGGCTGAGTATCCAAGCCTGAGATTGGCCATCTCTGCCTGCGATTGCCAGCTCAGTGTGATCAGTGAGAAGGGAGGGCCTGATCCAAGGAGCCTCGGGAAAGGCTGAACTGAGGACAAGGACCCTAGACCTCTCACAGGTTTCCCGCTTCGGCACACACGCGTTCTTCTGGCTGTTTCCACAGACTCAGAGCCTCTTCCCCTTGGCCCCAGCGGGTACCCATGATAATAGTTGACATCTATTGATCATCTCTTATGCCAGGTACCATGCCAAGCGCTTACCCAGACCATCTCATTCACTCCTCACAAGAACCCTTTAAGGTAGGCAGTTACTCCCGCCTTTTAGATGAAGAAACTAACGCTGCAGTCACTTGCCCTCATGATCAACGAGTAAGGAGTGTGGCCAGGCCTCGAGCCCAGTCCGCCTGGCTCCAGAGCCTGCCCCGCACAGGCTACCCTCACCTTCTACAGCCCACCGGCCTTAGGACCCTCAGTTATGGCACCCTGCTTTGTAGGTGAGGGAGCTGAAGCCCAGAAGAGATTTACCCTGGGCCCAAGGCCCACAAAAGTAGACCCCCTGACTCCTGATTCAGTTCCCTCCACCATGCCATGCCTGTGAGCTGAAGCCTGGGCCAGCCCTGCTTCTGCTCTGAATTCATGGGAAACCTACCCAGTCCTTACGTTTTCTTCTCCTAACTGAGACTCCTGGGTTGGACCGAGTTGTAATTTTATGAAACCCTGAGCAGAGAGACTGAGATCAGTGAAGAGGGACTGAACCTCATTTTGCCCTCAGGCATATTGAGCTCTAATGCCATCTAAAAATAGATTCCCTTACAGTGTGCATTCAGTGAGGAGCTTGACACTCAGGGCCCTCTCCTGTGGGCCCCACTTGGCCAGTTAATGGGGAGGTGAGAAGACTTCACTATCCCCTAGAACACGCTTACACTTTTAAAGCTTACTACATACTTTGTCTCTGGGTCAAAGGTTTTTTCAAAGATGACAGATACCTCTTGCCATTAGCAATCTGTACTCTGGGCAGCTCTCCATTTTCTCTGATAAAAAGTGAAATAAATGAAAACAGCGTTTTAAAAAATCTATAAATGGGTGGGAGCCAGTTGTCATTTTCCCTTTCCCCCTCCTCCCACTCCGTTAACTAACTTAATGAGGATCCAAGTTGAGAGGCACTCGCCGAAAACAGCTGGTAGCATCATGCCTTTAAATAGCCCTCGCCACGCTTCCCCTTGGCAGCACGCAGTTGGCCCTGGCAGGGAAAGCCCAGGACAGAACAGGAAACTTTAGAACTTTCTAAAAAGAAAAAAGCTTGCCTTTAAAACGTGCTCCCTTCTGTGTAAGGAGCTTGCAATGTTGTAGCCCCTTCCCCTAGAAGTTTACAAGGAAAGACTAAGCTGATGAGGCTTGCCTCGGGACCCAGTGTGACTCTGGGCCTGGGGAGGTAAGTGGAGGGCTCCCCGGACCCGACCCCTGCCCAGCTCAGGCCAGCGTCCAGGGCAGCAGTGGCTCCAGCACCATCTGCTCATCAGGCACCTGTGGGGGCTATAGTGCAGCTCAGCTGCAGCCTCTCCCCTTGATGTTCGTAGCTGTAAGGTCAGGGAAGGTGACGTCCTCACCTCTAACTTAGGGAACATTCAGCCCTCCCTGAAAGTGGTACTGGGATGGGCCAGACTCCACAGTGCACATCAGGCCAGAGTCCATGCAGCAGAGGTTGGTGGCAGCCTGTCGATCTCAGACCCTCTGGAGAAGCGGGGCCACAAGGCTCTCTCCGGCCGCACTTCCATGTTGCTGGGGAAATAGCAGCAGGTGAAACATATGGAAGGAATAAGTGGCCCTCACGTCTGGGTGGCAGCCAACAGTTGACTGTCTCCTCCCACACACTGTCCCATGCGAGTGTGGCATCAGGTGGCCTTATCACCCCTACTGTTCGTAAGGGAACAGAGCCCAGGGCTTCTCCTGCCCTGCCCGGCCTTGCCTAGGTCTGGAGCTCTGTCACACCACAGCACCCCTTTTGCATTAAGGGTGACTGTGGCGACTGTGGCATGGTGCCGTTAATGGATAAGGGCTTTGAGGTCCTGAGTGCCAGAGAAGGTGGCGGTTTGGCTGGCTCAGGGCTGTGCTGATCACAAGTGGATGGAAGAGGGTGCTTTTTCTTACTAACTGTTGGCAAAGTTTGAAATTTGAGAATGGACTAAAGTGTTCTTCCTTAGTACCTAAATATTGTACCTGTTCTCTTTCTGGAGCTGCTGTCTCTCCCACCTTCTTTTTTTTTTTTTTTTTTTTTTTTTTTGAGACAGAGTCTGGCTCTGCCGCCCAGGCTGGAGTGCCATGGTGCGGACGTGATCTTGGCTCACTGCAACCTCCGCCTCCCGGGTTCAAGCGATTCTCCTGCCTCAGCTTCCCAAGTAGCTGGGACTACAAGCGCCCACCACCACACCCGGCTAATTTTTATATTTTTAGTAGAGACGGGGTTTCGCCATGTTGGCCAGGCTGGTCTTGAACTCCTGACCTTGGGTGATACACCCGCCTCGGCCTCCAAAAGTGCTGGGATTACAGGCATGAGCCACTGCGCCCAGCCTCTCCCGCCTTCTTAAACAGCTTGTAATGGACATACTGTAACTGCTTCTTGCAAGCTCGTGGTCATCATTAGTTACATTAAAGCCACAGCCCATCACCAAGTGCTTTCTACACTGAGCCAGGCCTAGTGGTCACTGGGAGCAGGATGTGCTCCCGCTTTCCAGGGGCTGGCAGATAAGACCTGTGCACATGGGACAAGTGCCCCAGAAGAAGCACGGACAGTGTGCAGGGAGATGACCTCCTGGGGACCAGGGGAGACTTGATGGAAGCAGGAGTATTTGTCCTGAGCATGAATAAGCCCAGAGGTGGCAAATGGCATGTGTGAGGAAGAGCAAGTAGTCAAATGAGAAGAAGGGAGAGGCAGTAGATCCAGGGCTCGTATCCTGGACCGTGGCCAGCTCAGGGGGGTCTGTGACATCCCCGGGTTGCTGTGGGGCGTCTTACCTGCAGTTTCTCTGAGGAGAGGATCCTTCACTTTCTTAGCTTCTCAAAGGGTCGCATGATCTCAAAAAATGTGATAGAGGAACAGAATAGATTTTCTTCCTAATGACTTGGAGCCAGATAGAGTCATTGAATGCCAGGCTGAGAGTTTGGAGGACATTAAGGTCTTGGTCAGGAAAGGGACAGAGACTCACACTGTAAGAGAATCAGTGTAGCTGCAAACATAGGCAAAGGAGGCCTCATGTCCAGGGGAGAAGCAGCTTCTGCAGCAGTGCCATCGAAAGATAAGACAGGAGCTATGGGAGTCACTACGGATGGAGGGACTTAGCGGCAGGAACCTTGAGGATGAATTCACCGTAGGGGTTTAGGGAGAATGGAAACTGGTTCGGAAGGAAACTGAAGGTTCTGTTACAGAAAACCAAATTGGTCAGAGCATTTTCAGATACATAAAAGTGATGAAAACATCCATTTGGAACACTAGTTTGAGTTACAGAGTGACAGGTAGGGTGTCCCACAGGTGGTTGGAGACGTGGGACTGGAAGTTTGAGGGGAGGGAGGGCTGGGCTAGCGGTGCTGCAGGACCAGGAGTTCCCACCTTGCTCTGTGTGACCCCAAGGATGATGGCGCCTGGGAGTGCCGAAGGAGGGGCAGGGAGAGGTAGAGAGAGGCAGGACAGCTGTGGCACCACATGTCACAGAAGTCACAGGGAAAGAGAGCTTCCAGAGAGAGGAGCTGACGTTTCAGTGCTGCAGAGGCCATGGTGGAGGCCAGCACTGAGAAAGAGCTGGAGCATTCCAAGGCCAGATTGGAAAGAGGGCTGCAGTTGACTTGAAGGGGGCGGGCAGCCGGTGGCACCAGCCGCTGCATTTGCTCTGCTCCAGAGACAACTCCAGGGCCTGTCAGATTGCGTGGGGCTCTTTGCCCTATGGCACAGGATCCCCGGTGAGTGCTCGTGCTTCCTGAGCAGTTTTCTGTTCTCTTCTCACTGCTGCTGTGAATCTGCCTCCTACCCTTGGGTTAGCTCCTCCACTCCAGATTTGCTGCTTCTGATCTCCTGGGAGCTGGCAGCTGGTAGAGCCAGGCTCAGTAGGACCAGATCCTAAATGAAATGGACTGTGGGAGGTTCCCTGTGGGTGAGGCGATGAGACCTTTGCAGTGCTGAGGGTGACAGGTCTTGGTGGCCCTGCCTGGTTCTTGCCATTGCTCTGAGGTGAGATATCTGGACACGTAAGGTGTCACTGTGATTGTGTGGGTGTCGGTGGGGCAGGGCTAGAAGGCAAGCCTGGTGACCAGGAGCACGGGTGCCCACCTCCTTCCTCTGCAGCCCCTCCCTTCTCCTCCCCTCACTTTTCTCCCTCACCTCTCAGCTGACAGCAAGCTGCTGCTGGAAATGCCCCTCCACTGCCCCTTCCCTGCTGCATGGACTGTGGCCCGCGGGACTGCCATTGGTGCCCTGATGTGGGGTTACCCATGTGTCCGTCTCCTCCACACTGCATTCTCCCACACGGCGTGATCCCATGGCTGGGTCACCCCGCCACCCCTGATGCCTTGTACAGTGCCTGACACAGTGTGGGCTCGGCGGGTGCACATCTGAGGTAGAACGTGGCCCTGCTTCCACAGATTAGAAACCTGGATGCCGGAAAGGCCAAACGGGCTGCCCCCGGTCCTGCCACCCCTCTTCCACTGACTGGGAAATGTTCTCTTAACACCCAGCCTAGCTTTCTTTCCAGTAGACCAGACTGCATGTGCGTTTGGAAATAAATGGAGCCCATGAATCATTTAGAAATTATTAGGGCTGGGTGTGGTGGCTCAGGCCTATAATCCCAGCACTTTGGGAGGCCGAGGCAGGAGGATCCCTTGAGGCCAGGAGTTTGAGACCAGTCTGGGTAATGTAGCAAGACCCTGTCTCTGTGAAAAAATGAAAAAACAATTGCTGACATGGTAGCACACACCTATAGTCCTAACTACTTGGGTGGCTGAGGCAGTAGGATCACTTGAGTCCTGGAGGTCAGAGTTACAGTGTGCTGTGGTTGGACCACTGAACTCCAGCCTGGCTCACAGAGTGAGGTCCTGTCTCTAAAAAAATCAAATGTGTTAAAAAACTTATTAGACCCTCTTTGTCTTTATGAAGTCAAAGGTCCAACTGAGTGGAAAATGCAACCTTCCTGATACTCTAGATCACTAAATGACTGCGTGGTTCAATTGCACACACACTGTCTTGTAGCTTGGACCAGGCCCTTGTCTTTGTCCTGAAAAAAGGCAGCCGGACCTAAGTGCAGATATCTCATAGGAATTGGCAGCCAGGAGGGTGCACGTACAGGCCCTTTGAATATTCCTGAGAGATGTCACAGTAGTGAACTGCATGCATCTCCTCGGAAAAATCCGGAGGGCTTTGCCTCAGCAGAGAAGGCAAATCCAACCCAAGATGCATGAACAATAAATAACAACTGTTCTGAGTTAGCTTGAAAGCTCCCAGTTGCACTTTGTTTCAAGTTGTTTGTGCTAACCACAATTTTTTTTCTCCCCTTCTTTCCCACCAGGGCTTATTTCAAAACCTTTGTCCCTCAGTTCCAGGAGGCAGCATTTGCCAATGGAAAGCTCTAGGAAACACCAGTCTTGAGAGGTGGCCAGCCAGACTGCCTGTCCACATGCGTGTCAGCACATACAGCCGCTTCCTGGAAGCCGCCTGGAATGTCTTCACGGCAGCGTTTTGCTCACACAGCAGCTTTTGCACGCCCCAGGCAGCCCCGACTGCTGAAATCCAACTTGAGCTGGCTGGTGGTCCCTGGATCCTAGAGCCCTTCACTTCGGGTTACTCCCTCTTTCTTGCCTCTATTTCTTAGTTGGAAGAAATAAACTCACAAATTATGGTGCAGTAATTTTCCGGGGAAAGTAAAGCCTCAGGAATGCCCACGCCTTTCTTCCAAAGCCTTTGTCTCTGAGACCTCTTAAGTTCTAAGATTAAATGCCCCTCGCTGTTCTTCCTCTGAAACTAGTGTCTTCCCTCTGTGCGTGCATGTGTGTGTTTCATACCCAAGCATTTCCTATCTGGGGCAGTCCTTCACGGCGAGAAGGAGTTACCTGAGTCAATGTGACCAACCTGCTGGGTTTCAGCCACTCATCCAGCCTGACCTAAGGCTGTTGCTCAATAACAAATGGCCTCTAGCACACACAGCCCCACCCGCTGCCATCCATACCCCTCCAGCCCCCTGTGTGGACACCTTGTTCCCAGGCCAGCCCCACACAGTAGGCAGTCATTAAAGTTTGGTGAGTGCACCAACGGCTCTGTCCTTCCGGCTCTCCCCTCTCCATCCCCTCTGGGCCTCTGCAGCACTGTGTGAATTATACACAAAGACAAAGCTTGGGTGTCATGGTTTATCAGAGGAATGTGTCTGCTTTCTGGGCTTGGGGACTGGCAGTTGTGCAGCCAGCCAGGAACAGAGCTGGGGAAGATACCCTGAGCAGGCGACATCTTCCCTGAACTTACTGATCATCACAGCCAGAAGGGTCTTCAGAAGTCATCTCGTTTCTACCCCGTTACTCCCTTCAGTGTACAGAGGACAGAACTAAGGCCCAAGAGTTAAGGAAACATGCAAATTAGAAACAGCAAATTAGGAACAAACCTGGGAACTTGGAGCCAGGCCTCCTTGTACCATCACACACTCGCTTAGCTGAAACACAAGATGGCTACCGTCGGCTTGGCCATATCACCAGGTTTACAGTTTGGTTTAGCATGGTCCTGTCCTGATGGCCTTCCACACAGGGAAGCAGGGCCCACGCACCACCCACAGAGGTGAGGGCAAGAGCTGGCCTGGGTGCTCGACCTGACACCCTCTGGCCTTCCCATTCCAAGGCGAAGCCACTGGCCCCTCCTGCAGGACACACACATGATTTTACAGGGCCTCTCACCTGGTCCCTTAGTTCCCCTCGTGGCTATTGGAGCCCATTTTTACCAGGTGAGCGCAAAAGAGAACCATCCCTGGGCCCTTGTGAAGACTGGTGAGGAGAAGTCGTGCCTCTGCTTCCTGTGTTCTCTGGCACCCAGGAATGTTCTCAGGAGGCTGGAGATCAGCTGGAACAGACCTCCCATCTTGCCTGTCAGCTGGAGGCCTGCCCAACTCTGGGTTTTTTCACCGTGTGGGTACTATGCCCCCTACCCTGAAACTTTGGGAATTCCCAGGACAAGAACAACAGTCCAGTGTCCTATGTCCATATCCCAGCCCTGCCATTAACTGGCTATGTGGCCTTGAGTAAGTCCCTTCCTCTCCATAATATTAATACTAGGAGGGGGCTGGACTGGATTGTGGGCTCAGCTCATCAGATCACCCGGGGAGATTTTTTTAGGAACTACTGCTCTGGTAGTTCCCACTGCAGGCCTGTTGACTTGGAATCTCACTAGCTGGAGCTTAGCCTTCTAGATTTTGATAAAACTCCCCCAGCGATTCTACTGAGCAAGTGATCATGACCCACTAAGCCAGCTGACCACACTGGCACTGCTTCTGACCCTGACCCGCTGAGTGCCCACAAGAAGGTGCCCCTCTACTCAGGGCAGCTGTGTGCTATGCCCCATGTCCCCTCCATCCCCCACTAAGGTGCCATGGCATGGTCACTTAGGATTGCTAGGGGCACCCTCCCCTGATGGAGGGGTACGGATTGGGCTCTACTGTGCACAGCACCAAGAGTTGACTGAGCCCGGACTTGCTTCTGAGCTGCAACTGGGTCTGAAGCAAGCCCAGGCTCAGTCAACTCTTACTGGTTCCACTTCTAGCAGATGGTGGTTGGCACTGTGGGAGGGGGTGAGGTCCTGTGGACTGGTCGTCCCCTCAGCATTTCAAATAAGCATTCAGCAGTGACAGCAGCCAGTAGTGGGCAGTGTGGTCTGGGAATGTCATCCTCCTGCCCCTGCCAGCCCCTGGGGGCCCACAGACCCAGAAAACGAATGAGACCCTGCCCATCAGCGAAGCACACAGTCTAACTCAGAAGTTTTGCCACACACATTAGCTCACACAGCTTTACAGCAGACCTGGGCTGTGAGCAACTGAATAGGGTTGCTTTTGTTCCACAGATGAGGAAACAGAAGATGAGAGAAGTTAAGTGAGTTACCCACGATCACCGGCCGGTCAGGGCCGGAGCCAAGACCAAATCCAGGCTCTTGGCTCCCCTCCAGCAACAATTCTCACGTGTGTCGATACTCTCGTGAACAAACTGAAGCTTATTTTTTTATTTCCCAGTGAAGGATGATGGACGTTATATAGGTTTGTGAAGATGGAAATTTATGATTATTTTTAAAAGACTTTCAGCTTCCTTGCCACAGGGGAGGATTTGGGCTGGTTTTCTTAGAGGGGATTCAGCACAAGGTGACAGTCACCACTGTATGTTTCCAGAACCAGGGACTCAAACACCAGGGTTTGCGTGATTTTATCTTTACCCCGCAACAGCAACAGAAGCCGGTGGCGCCTGTAAACGAGTGAAGGTCACCTGTATATTTGTAAATACTTCCTGCCGGTTCAGCCTGTCATCGAGCATCGTACCTGCACACAGAGGGCAGCCCAAGACTAATTAGTAAATGGCTATAAAATGCTTTGAAGATGAAAAGAACCATATGTGACAGCATATTATTAATACTTAGTAAATCCTGTCTCCGGCTTACTCAGCCCTTGTAATTTCAGTTGAATCTCTCTTGCTTAGCACTGATGAGGAAAAGGACTCACACGTGTTTACCAGCAATACTTGGATATGATCAAGCATCTGTGAGGCCCCGAGAAGGAGGGGCAAGGGACCCTGGTTAGCCAATGCTCAGCTTCTTCCAGCAGCCCGGCTTCCTGAGGACCCATCGCCTACAGCCAAATGACCCTTTTTTTTTGTTTTGTTTTATTGAGAGGGACTCTGGCTCTGTCGCCTAGGCTGGAGTGCAGTGGCACCATCTCGGCTCACTGCGACCTCCGTCTCCCAGGTTCAAGGGATTCTCCTGCCTCAGCCTCCCGAGTAGCTGGGATTACAGGCACACGGCTGTAATCCACCACGCCCGGCTAATTTTTGTATTTTTAGTAGAGACGAGGTTTCACCATGTTGGCTGGGCTGGTCTTGAACTCCTGACCTCAGGTGATCCGCCCACCTCGGCCTCCCAAAGTGCTGAGATTACAGGCAGGAGCCACCACGCCCAGCCTCAAATGATGCTCTATTAAAGCTCATTTTCTTGTGGAGACATGAACTAGAAAGAATATGAAGTTGAGGATGAGAGAGGAAAAAAAAGAGAAGGACCTTGGTTTGTACAATTTGCCAATTTCTATGGTGTAAATACTCCCCCCATGATGGACTGCAGGCCACCAATGTGAGGTCACTGGACGCAGAGTTGGGAGGAGCAGGGAGGGTCATCGTGGGAGCCTCTGCTGGAGTGAGCTGGCCCCAATGTCTGTCTTTACTTAATCTGAGTTTTGTTATCCTCATCTATAAAATGGGAATAAATATCTGCCTCCCGGGGTTGTGAGAATTAAATAAGAAAAGTACCTAGAGCACCATGTGCAGTGCTTGGCACACAGTAACATTTGACAAACAGTGGCTATTATTACCGCAGACCAGAAAAAAGATTTTCTGATGTTGACTTTGGCCTTTTTCTAAAAAGTCAGAATGTCCCTGTTAAAAAGTCCTGCCAATGAATTTGGCCTTTGGAAAAGTGACCCTGTCTGGATTACCAGGAAGACAAAATGATGAGTCATCTTGAATTTTAACGGATAAGAGATGCGATGTATTTGTGGGGGTTCCCCACCCCCCACGCTGGTCTTGCTTAAGCTCTCGGCAGGACTTCAGGCTCTGAGCAGTGCTGGAGAAGAAACAACCCACTGACCTGTTTATTCGCCCCGGCCCCTGCTTTCCCACAGGCAAGGAAATCAGAGCAGCGTGGTTCACTTTTGCCTCTGACTGGGTTTCAGTTCCTGACAGCTCCACGCTCTTGGAGTTGCGGCTGACTTGCCGGAGGGACGACTGCATTTGGTTTGCCTCTTGCTCAGGCCTATAAATACAACTATCCCAGAGCCTGCCCCAGTTCATGGGGACCAGCCTGTCCCACAGTTCCTAATGTGAATGTTAAGAACATCATCTAATGGTAATAGGACATCTCATTCTATTAATGGCATCATAGCTAATTCATTGGTGCTCGAAAAAATTAAAATACAACCTTTGCCTTTTTTTATGCATCTACGGTGCTTACGTGCAGGTCCAGTACAAACACTAACTAGAAATCGGGTGTGGGGTGCACCCATCGCCTTGTGTAATCCTCGAAACAACTAAATGAAGTAGGGGTTATTGTCTTCATTTTATAGATAAAAACATGGAACCTCAAAGGTGTTAAATAAATAACTTACCCAAGGACAGGAAGCTGGCATAATTCACTCATCACCATCCTACCTTCTCCCCCTTCCCCTCTCCTTTCTTTGCTTCCCTCCCTTCCTCTTTTTTTATTTCACAAGGAAGTGAACCAGGTCCCTCTGTTTCTTTCCACTTCTGTTATCCAGCTTCCCCAAATGAGAGCTTTATTGAGCATCTAATGTATACAGAGCCCTGATAAGACATTTACACACTGCTTTTTGCCATTTTCCCTGTGAGGAGAGGGGCTTGGAGTAGCTGGGTCTGGCCAGATCACACGAAGTGGGTGTCAAACCCTGGTCAGCTGGGTCCAAGGAATTCTGTGGGGTCACATGCAACAAACTAAAAAAGACTTGGAAGTGGTCTTCGTATATGTGGATGAGTATATCTATATGGCTACACACATATATATAAATAACTTATTTTCAGATGGCTGAGCCAGAGCCAGCCCACAGCTGGAAAAAATTAAAAAATAAAAAATAAATAAACCTGACTTCAGAATTTGTGCCATAGTCTCTGGTTAAAGTCCAAAACACACTTGGTTGAAATAACAGCCTAATATTTGAGGAAAACAAGGTGAAACAGTTGTTACAATTATTAAGGAAAATTACCGAGGTATTACCAAAGACAGCAGGGTCCGTGAACTAATTCCAGGTTGAATAGGAAGCAGTTAACTCTAAGAGGCCTAAAGAAGTGTCTTCCTTCTACAGCGTTCTTGGATTTACTCTGTCACTATTCTCTGATCCCTTTGGAGGAACCACACTTCCCAAGTCTAAGAGGTCGTGCTTGGGGTCATAATAAATCATGGGTCATCATGGCCAGAAAAGTAGCCCCACAAGCAACCCAGGGATGGCCAGAATGAGCCTCCCTGCCCCGGGCCAGCCGCCTCTGCAACACGTTGGGATGAGCCAGCCAAATGGCTTGTGGAGGGTGTGGCATACACTCATCTTCCCCCAAAACAGCCCACCACCCCCTTCTTAAAGTCCCATGGAGCAGGTCCCTCCACAGAAGGCTCCTCGTTCCAGAGAGCCTCTTTGAAACGTGCCCTTTGAGTGAGCCTAGGAGCCAGGCAAGAAAGTGAAAATCAGTCCCTTTCAACTCCATGATCTCGCTTTTGCTCCAAAACGGAACGCTGCAGCTCCCGGTGACTTTTGGCTGTCTGCGCAGGTGCCAGTAGAGCAGTACGTAGAAGGGTGCTGGGTGCCATCTGGAAATAAGGTGGTGGGTGGGTGTTAAAGGTGACAGCTGCCCTCTCCCTTCTCAAGCACCATGCGTGACAGTCCAGGCCCTGTTCCAGGTGGTTCCCACACGGCGCCTTCTCGATCCTCTGACCCTTCAGAGAACTAGGAGAGCCCACCCCTGCAGGCAGCCGAAGCAATGTATCAGGGCAAATCCTGGGGAGGCCAAAAATCATTTGAGTAAGGCGAGGTCTGCCGAATAAGAGGGCCGCTTACCCAGGGTCAGCTCTGAAAGTGTCAATGAGGGACGTAAGTTCAAGTAGGTGTAGGGAAGGATTCGACTGGGACTCATTTCACAGCCCAGCTGGGGACTGATGTCACGCCCGAGGACAGGAGGTTTGGGGCAAGGGTCAGCCTCACACTGCCAGGTTGCCCTAGGGGAGATTCCACAAGGGCGCATTCCCTCGCCACGCACATGCGCAGGCACGCACATCCGTGTGCACGCACTCACCCACAACCAGGGCTTCAGATGAGCTGATCCCCCGCTATCCCACTCCAGCACCCGCTCCTGGGACTCCAGCCCACACCAGGTGGGAGGAGGACTCCTCATCCTGACTCCACGCTGGTGGCTCTCGGCGTGCGTGGGCTGCAGGTTGTACAACCCAGACGGCTGCCTCTGCCTGTCTCTCCCGCCTTTCTACCCGCACCGACACCCAGGCGGCCCCCTGAGGCACCTCCCCTTCCTCGCCGGCTCCTGCCCAAGCTGCCCAGGCCCAGGGGCCCCCTCAGCCTCGCCCACTCCAACTGCCAGCTGTCAGCAGCCAGCGGCCACCAGGGCTAATCCCCTTCACAAAACTAACTCCAGCCTGGAGCCCCGCTTCAGCGAAACCAAGCCCTGGCAAGGCGAATGGGCTCGTTGGCTGAGTTGAGGCCCATGGGCTCTGGAACCAGCCGGCCTGAGTCAAACCTGGCTCCACCACTTCCTAGGTGCGTGAACTTGAACAAGCCAGTTGATCTCAGTTTCCTCCTCTGCAAAATGGAACTTCACCACGCGGTGCTGGCAGGAGGACTCCATGATGAGGGCACTGAGTTATAAGCATTGTAACACTTACACCAGTGCCTGGCACTCAGTGGTGCTCAGAAAAGCCTATCTTTATTATTATTGCCTTTTAGGTTTGGCACAAGTTGCTCCTGGTCCCTCTTCTCACTCCTTCCTTTCCATTCCATATCCCTGTCCTTAAGCGTTTAACTGACCGAAAACAACAAAATCTTTTTTGGCCTCTCCCATACGATAGTCCAGTCCTCTTGCTGGAGCCACTCCCACTTCGAGTGTCTCTGCCAGCTGTCCACCTCTATGAGCTCCCAGGCCCTCTGCCCAAGGCTATCCACCTGCCGCCTCCCCCTCCTCTCTTCCCACAGCTCCCCTGTAAGCCTGTGCTAAGCAGCGCGACCTGGGGGCCCTGACTCGTCACTTCTGTCAAGCTCCTAAATTCCCTTGTTTCCAGAGGTTTTGTCTATTAAGTTACTTTTTTAAATTTTTTTTTTTTTTTTTTTGAGACAGGGTCTCAGTCTGTCACCCAGGCTGGAGTGCAGTGGCACAATCTCAGTTCACAGCAGCCTCCATCTCCTGAGCTCGAATGATCCTCCCACCGCAACCTCCCAAGTAGCTGGGACTACAGGTGCGTACCACCATGCCTGGCTAATTTTTGTATTTTTATATAGACGGAGGTCTTGTCATGTTACCCAGGCTAGCCTTAAACTCCTCAGCTATGCGATTCTCACACCTCGGCCTCCCAAAGTGCTGGGATTACAGGCATGAGCCACCATCCTTGGCCAAGTTACATTTATTAAATAATAATTTATTTCCCCGCTTTTAACCAATAACTCATGTACTTGCCTTCTAAGGATTCCAGTGGGCACTAAGGACCAGTTACCCCACAGAGTGGGCATGTTTTCTAAGGATTCCAGTGGGCACTAAGGACCAGTTACCCCACGGAGTGGGCATGTTTTCTAAGGATTCCAGTGGGCACTAAGGACCAGTTACCCCACGGAGTGGGCATGTTTTCTAAGGATTCCAGTGGGCACTAAGGACCAGTTACCCCACAGAGTGGGCATGTTTTCTGTCAAATCTAGAACACAGGATTAGCCAGGGGGTTCTCCTGTCTGGAAAACATACAATAAACATTAGACTTCTTTCAAGTCTTGACTGCCAGGCACAGCCCCATTGCTGATCTGCTGCAGGCCAGCCCCTGCACTGCGGGCTGTCCGTGATCTATCTGGAGAATCAGGATAAACACAGAGTGTGACCATCCACAGCTGTCGGCTGAAAGATGAGATGCTCCCTCTCCAGTACCCGTCCGTCCCCTGGAGCAGTGCCTGCTTGCTCACATGTGAGCCGCCCTGACAGGCAGCCCAAAGCCAGAAGCAGGGTTTCCAGGGCTGGAGAGGGTATTGTCTTCTGTGGTCCAGAGGCCCTGAGGAGTGTCCCACACCCAGGGTGGGGTGGCCAGGCCTGCAGAGGCTGCAGGAAGAGGTGTTGGGTCATCCTGGAGCCAAAAGGCCTTGACCAAGATGGGCCTAGTGTGACCAGGACACAGGTGAGCAGACAAGTCTGGGCTCTGACAGGTCAGGACGGGCAAAGCATTGATGTAAAATGGAATGGAAAAGCAGCACTGGGCCAGGCAGCCATTCATCCATTCCACACACATCGGCTAAGCTCTTTCTGTGTGCCAGCAGTGGGTACTCTTCGGGGAGCAACAGAACTTGCATCCCATTTATGCACTTGACAGACATCTGTCGAGCATCCTCTCTGTTCCTGGCACTGGGACTGTATGGATAAGCCTAGCCCTGCGCCTGAAAGGCCAGGAAGCTGGGGCTAGTGCACACCCCTGCCACTGATGGGAGAGGCTGGGGTAAGCCACATAACAGAGCTGCAGATCCACACTGCTGGCGTTCAGCTGAAGCAAATCCTGGAGGGCTTCCTGGAGGAGGGGCCAGCTGGGCATGGTTTTAGACTCTTGGTTTCTTTGCTTCATTGTGGTGGTTCGGTTTCTGGCGAACTCTCCCATGGGGCTGAGGTGCACACAAGGTCTGGTTCTCATGCATGCAGTCATGTTGAGCAACTACTCTGTGCCAGGCACCATTCTATAGCAGTATAGCAGTAAATACAGCACCACAACCCCTGCCCTCATGGGGTTTCCATTCCCATCAGGGGAGAGGGGGTATGAACAAGATATACAGAGGGAATGTTAGGAGCCAAGCACAGGGAAGAGAAAGCAGGGAGGGGTGGGAGTGCATTTTTAGCCAGAGAGGCAGGGCTGGCCTGGCTGAGGAGGTGACGTCTGAGCCAAGGCCTGGAAGAGGCAAGTGAAAGCGGTAGTCCCCAGCTCTCCTCCCGAAGCCTGCCCCAGGCCCCAGCCCCGGGGCGTTGCCTTGGGTCCCTCCAGAACCTGCCCAGCGGAGCTTGTCCCTGCATCCAGAACGTCTGAGGTGACAGGCAAGGAGCAGTGGGGGTTAAGGAGATCGCGGTGAGCTGAGTCCTGGCTGGCCGTCCCTGACCACACTGACGGTGGCTTCCCTGACCTAGACCTCCTCATCTGTAAAATACCAAGCCTGTTTCACAGGCTGGTGCTAAGAACAAGGCAGATACGGTGAGGGGAGGCTTTGGGGACAGTAAAAGGTCATGGCCACGTGAAAACGTAAGCAGGTTGCCACTGCCACCACCTAACACACTGCCCCCGCTGCTGCCAGGTCAGGTTAGGGGCCTGGTGGAGGTGCCCTGAGGAGGTGGTGACAATACCACGAACTGCAAAGGAAACGGGAGTGACGCCCATCCTGCCTGCCCTCCCCGGCCTCAGCCAGCCTCTGGGACCTGCCCTGGCACCCACCCACTAGACAGAGGGGAGAGTGGGGAGGAGGTGCCCCGTGCCAGGCTGCCTTCCCCTTTCACTCAGCCCCAGAGAATCCAGCTGCCTGAAGCAGGCGAACAGGGCCCCCGGAGTGCCTGAGAAGGGCCAGCCATGTTCTGCCCAAAAGCTCTGCCACCCGGGGCCTGGGTCAACAGAGGTGGGTGTGACCTGGAAGGTGGGCTCCCAGGCAGGTATCACAGCGGGCAGCAGGCTTCCAACCCGCCCATGCCACTGCCAGCAAAACGGCTAGCACGAGAGACTTTTCCTCTGTTTTTTTTTTGTTTTTTGTTTGTTTGTTTGTCTGTTTTGAGATGGAGTCTTTCTCTGTTGCCCAGGCTAAAGAGCAGTGGTGCAATCTCGGCTCACTGCAACCTCCGCCTCCCGGATTCAAGTGATTCTCTCACCTCAGCCTCCAGAGTAGCTGGGATTATAGGCACCCACCACCACACTCGGCTAATTTTTTGTATTTTTAGTAGAGATGGGGTTTCACCATGTTGGCCAGGCTGGTCTAGAACTCCTGACCTCAGGTGATCCACCCATCTCGGCCTCCCAAAGTGCTGGGATTACAGGCGTGAGCCACCGCACCTGAACTTTTCCTCTTATGAAAGGAGCAGACACCAGAAACGACGCAGGCTCCCTCCTCCAGACAGAACCACGCTCAGCGTGTAGGTATTTAACAGCGTTCAACAAATATTTTGTACTTATTTATTCTGAGGCAGGAAATGATATCCCAGCTGAGGTCTGAGGACTAAAGGGGTTTCCTTCCAGTCTTTTTCCTATTCATTGTTAACATGCTTAAAAACAATGGAAAACAATTGCGGATCTTGTTTCGTTTTTCTATTTTGTTTCCCGAGTGTTTACCATCTTGCCATCTTTGGTGAACCCATCTCATATTTCTCCATAGTTCACTTACCCCTTTCCGTTATTTTTTAGCCATTTGAATTATTTCTTGATTTTTCCCTATTATATATCTATCCCATAAATAATCACTTGTACCTTTCTGTAGGAAACGCACCTGGGTCAGAGTCACCTAAGATTGGTCAGCAAACAACAGGGAGAAACGAACGTGGTGATGGCGTCAGTTCATGCCTCAAAGACTGCAGAGCTGGGGGAAAGAAGTGAATGTGCTGGAATATTCTGGCAGCTCAGTGGAGGAAGGGCCGAGGTGGGTGCCTTCCGTGAGACAGTGAGAAGCGTGTTGAGCCTCCAGGCTGCGAGGCTGCACCTAGAGTGGGAGTGAGGAGAAGAGAGGCCATGGTTGAAAGAGTTGGCTTCTGAAGGCCTTCCCAGCCGAGCTGAGGTGACCAGGTGGCTGCAGGAGGACACAGCAGAGGAGGGACAGGACAAGGCTGTCCGTGGGAGTCCCTGTGCCAGTGTCCAGCCCACCTTCCTCGCTGATGCCATGAGCTGTGGACATGGCGGAGGTGACTGTCCTCTGCCCGTACCAAGGACTGACCCCTGGGCAAGTCTTGAGGTGGACTCACCGGCCTCCAAAGTCGTGCCCACCCCCTGCATCACCTCAGCCAGCCCAGAAAGCCCCCAGAGGGAGGGGAGTGTTTTCCTGAGTAGCTCAGACCCGGGACAGGTGCCCATGTTGGGTTTCCAGGGCTGAGCAGTCCCAGGCCACCAGATAGTCCCAAGTCTGATCCCAACACCCATACTGGGCCTGAGCTTCCTCCACTTCCTCCTCCTCTTCCTCCTCCTCTTCCTCCATGAGGAGGCTCAGAGCCACCCTGGCTGCCTGATAGGCTGACGGGAGCAGGGGAGGGAGGCTTTGAGTTTGGTCTGTCTTTTCTTCCAGGGGCTCAAAGCACTTTATAAGTATTAATTTCCTTCATCCACCTCAGCTGTTGTCCTGTTTGCTCTTTATATTTCATTATGAGCTGAGGTGTTGTGTTTAATCCTCAGGCATTCAGCAAGAGGGAATTCCGCAAGCCAGACGCAGCGGAGGCGGAGGACGCAATCCCCGCCAGCTCCTGGGACCCAAGGGCCGGGTCCCTCCCGGGCTTGTGCCCAGCTTGTCCTCTCCCATCCCTGCCTCTGGCCCGGTATTTGCTCCCAGCATCCTCAGCGGCCGGCAGGGAAGGCGTCCCTGGGAGGCCACCGTGGAGTTGTAGTGGACCCAGAGGCAGTGAGGTCTGCGGAGGAGAGCACTCAACAGGTAGGTAGGCGACCTGGGCCCCACCACGCACTGCAGTGTGACCCCAAGCAGCTCACTTCACTCCGAGTCCTGGTTTTAATAAAACATAGGACAGCGGGGATGAGACTCTTATTAATATCACATCACAGCCTGTGGAAGGGCTTTATAAATGCTAAAGCTCTGTGCTAATGTTCAGGGCACTGTACCCCTCTCCATAGGATGAGGGGTGGGTGAGATAAAATGACCCCATGGGGACATCCAGCCCAGACTTGTCACTCTGACTCGGATTCTAAGATGAAACGAGCTCATTCCCTCCTCCCACACAGCCCTGGGCCTACACCCCTTGGCCCAAGTGACCAGAGTGGAGGGCTGGGGAGGGAGATGGGTCAGGAGGTATAGCTCGGGGAGCCACAGATGTCCTGACCTGAAGGAGCTCCTTTCAGAGCTATGTGATGGGCCAGCTACGTTACCCGTGACCGCTCAGACGCAGGTGGGCCTTCAGAGTGTCCACACCGGTGAGGGTGATGTCAGCCCACCAGGGCCCGTCGGCCTGCAGGGCCGCCCTGTTAGGCTGTGTGGTTTGCCGATGTGGTACTGCCTGCCCAGAGGAAGGGATGCCTTTTGTTGCATACAAGGTTTCCATCTACAGGGCCAAGTCTTACCCAGTGGTTGCTGAGCCTGCAGGGAGGGGCTGCCCTCTTCCCAGCAGGCTTACCTGCCCCCTCTGGCAGGAGGGACCACCCCTTTTTCCTAAACACATAATTACAATAACAATACAGTCCCCAATCCCTTGTCCACAATTCCAAACTCCCAACGCTCTGAAAATCCAAAGCCTTTTTCTTTTCTTTTTTTTTTTTTGAGATGGAGTCTCGCACTGTCGCCCAGGCTGGAGTGCAGTGGCACAATCTCGAATCACTGCAACCTCTGCCTCCCGGGTTCAAGCGATTCTCCTGCCTCAGCCTCCTGAGTAGCTGGGATTACAGGTGCCCGCCACCACGCCTGGCTAATTTGGTGTATTTTTAGTAGAGACAGGGTTTCACTACGTTGGTCAGGCTGGTCTCAAACTCCTGACCTCGTGATCCGCCCGCCTCGGCCTTCCAAAGTGCTGGGATTACTGGCGTGAGCCACCGTGCCCGGCTGGCTTTTCCATACCTTATTTAGCAAAACCTAGCCTAACCTAAGTCCTTTTTTTCTCTCACTTTGAGTAAAGATTCACATTTCAATGAGGAAACCGTAATGTGTTTGAGCATGGGGTGTTTCCCCAGATCTCACTGGGTTATACATGACATTGGAATATGCATATTACCTTTTTAAAACTCCAGAAGCAGACATTCTGAAACACATACGACCATGGGTTTCCGCTAAGAAATAGATCTGTAACAACCAGCACTGAGTATACAGGCTTCCACATATCCCCAGCACTGTGCTGTGTACTCACAGGCACCAGTTCATGTAATCCCAGCAACTCAACTTATTTCATGTTATAGCTGAAGCCCAGGGAGGTTAAGTAGCCTTGCCAAAGTCACACAGTTAACTCAGGGGTGGTGCCAGATTTGAACTCCGGCAGTTTGGCTCCCTGTTACTAACCCTAGGCTGTACAGATGAGGAAACTGAGGCCCAGAAAGCAGAAACTTGCTCAAGATCCTCTGATGGGTAACGGTTGGAGCTGGGCCGGAGTCCTTGAGCCCCAAGCCTTACCTGCTCCTGTCTGTTGGGGACCAGTTGGGGGTGGTGAGGCCACCAGCAGCAGCCCAGGAACTCACAGCCTCCTCAGGCTGAGTTTGTCCAGCCCATCCGGGAGGAGCTTAAAATAGAAGAAGTTCCCATGGAAAAGTTTTAAGACTTCACTGGATTGAAACCAGATGACCCTGTGCAAACAGACCCCACCAGCAGGCACAGGGTCTGGGCGTGAGCTGTGCTCCCTACGGCTGTTCCCAGCCTGCCCTGGGGAGGGAAACTGCCCTGGGGGTGCAGACAGGCCAGCAGGGAAGAGAGCCCAGGGACAGGGGACACCAGAGCGGCAGGCCTTTGCTGTTGGGAAGGGGTGGGAGACGTCTTCCCCAAGGCAGAGAAGTGTCCCCAACACTTTCACTGGCTCCATCTGTTTCCCAGCTTCTGAAGATGGACAGAGAACTTGGAGACAGCATTCACCCATTCTCCCACCCTGCCAATCGTCTCCCTGTTCCCCCACTTATTCTTGCCTTTACTTGCACGCCACAGTCATACGGCAAACACAGCACCTCCTTGACACGGAGGGCTATGTGTGAACCACTAGGGACACAAGAATGCAGCAGACACTGTCCTGCCCTTTGGAAACTCCCAGACACACTGAGCAGTCGTCACAGCAGGATGGTGGGGGGTAGGGGTAGGCTGGGGACACCTGAATAACCCTGGCCGGTCAGCGGGAGCTGCACAGACGAGGTTTGGAGCAGGACCCAGAAGGGAGGGAGAAGAAGGGGTGTTCTGGGCCAGCGGTCAGGCCTGGTCACGCCAGCTGGCTGGCACACAGGGTGCGCGGAGAAGGGCAAACAGAAAAAGGGGCTGGAGGGAGGTGCGGACCCCATTAGAGGGCCTCATCGCCCCATTGAGTTTCTCCTGGGAAGGCTGGGGAGGCAGGAGATTTTATGTCTTCCTGGACTCCAGGTTGGTGGAGGAAGAAGACTCTTCTCCGTGCAGCGGCCAGTGGTAGTGACCTGAGCACTCCTCTGGGGCAGGGCCTGTCCCTGTCGCCTATTCAGCCCAGCCTCTGGCACATGGCTAAGCACCATAGGAATAGATTGCTCAATCTCCCCATGCCTAGAAACCAAGTCCCTGCTGCTCCTAGAAGGATGAGACCACCAGGGAAGTGGGAACCTGAACTGGGTTTTTTTTTTTTTTTGGAGGGGGTGCGGGGGGGACAGGGTCTCACTCTGTTGCCCAGAATGGAGTGCAGTGGCATGACCTCAGCTCACCGCAACCTCGCCTCCTGGGTTCAAGTGATTCTCTTGCCTCAGCCTCCTGGGATTACAGGCTCGCACCATTATCACCCGGCTAATTTTTGTATTTTTAGTAGAGATGGGGTTTCACCATGTTAGCTAGGCTGGTCTTGAACTCCTGACCTCAAATGATCCACCCGCCTAGGCCTCCCAAAGTGCTGGGATTACAGGTGTGAGCCACCACGCCTGGCCTGAACTGGGTTTTATATGATATTAAGAAATTGTTGTACCATGGAATACTATGCAGCCATAAAAAGAATGAAATCATGTCCTTTGCAACAATATAGATAGAGCTAGAGGCCATAATCCCAAGCAACCTAATGCAAGAACAGAAAACCAAATACCACGTTCTCACTTATAAGTGGGAGCTAAATGTTAAATACACATGATCATAAAGATGGGAACAGTAGACACTGGGGATCACTGGACTGGGAAGGGAGGGAGGGGGGTGTGGGCTGAAGAATCACCTGTTGGGTACTATGCTTACGGTCTGGGCGACAGGGTCCCTGGGACCCCAAGCCTCAGTGTCATGCAATTTGCCCATGTAACAAATCTGCAGGTGTACCCTTTATAATAAAAATTGATTTTTTTTTTTTTCTGAGATGGAGTCTTGCTCTGTCACCCAGGCTGGAGTGCAGTGGCATGATCTCAGCTCACTGCAACTTCCACCTCTTGAGTTCAAGCAATTTTCCTGCCTCAGCCTCCCGAGTAGCTGGGATTACAGGCACGCGCCACCACGCCCAGCTAATTTTTGTGTATATATATATATTTAGTAGAGATGGGTTTTCACTATGTTGGCCAGGCTGGTCTCGAACTCCTGACCTCCAGTGATCCACACCCCCTCAGCCTCCCAAAGTGCTGGGATTCAGGTGTGAGCCACCGCGCATGGCCAAAAGTTGAAATTTTTTTAAAAAGAAATTGTTAACTTTATTAACATTTGCTAAGACTTGGCATTATAGTTATGTTAAAAAAAAAAACGAATCCCTCATTCTGTTGGACATAAAAACTAAAGTATTTATGGATAAAATAATATAGTGTCTGGCACTGTTATAAAATACCAAAATTTTTTTAAGTTAGCTAAGAAGTAAAGAAGGGCCAGTTGTGGTGGCTTACACCTGTAATCCCAGCATTTTGGGAGGCCGAGGCAGGAGGATTACTTGGGTTCAGGAATTCAAGACCAGCCAGGGCAACATATGGAGACCTCATCTCTACAAAAAATAAAAAAATTAGCCAAGCGTGGAGGCACACATCTTTAGTCCCAGTTACTCGGGAGGCTGAAGTGGGAGGATCGCTTGAGCCCAGAAGGTCAAGGTGGCAGTGAGCCATGATCATGCCACTGCACTCCAGCCTGGGCAACAGAGTGAGACTCTGTCTCAAAAAGAAAAAAGAAATAAAAAAGGTAAGATGACAATGAGCCTTGAAGCTGAGTGATGGGCTCTCAGGGCCATGATAGTCCCTTCTTCTTTTGTGTGTTTCAAGTTTTCATGGTTTTAGTTACAAGTGGAGACAGGAACACATGAGTTCCCAGAGCACCAAACTTGCAGGGTGGTTGGAGCAGAGAGGATGAGACCTCACTCGTTCCCACCTTGGAAGTCAATGGGATCAGGGATCCCTTGGAAGTTGAGGGATGAGAGCACGGGCCCAGGGGGCATCAGCCCGTGGCAAGTCGCTCAGCAGGTTGGGAGCCTCAGGCTTCCAGCTCAGGCCATGGCGCCCCAGGTTGTGCAAGACAGAACTCCCCACTGTCTAATCCTCACATCCAGTCACCGGTCCTGTTTATTCTCACCCCAAAATCTCTCTCAGATCCACCTACCTTGCCCCATTCCCTCTGCCCACACCCCCCTCCTTCAAGCTGCCATCATCTCTTGCCCTGCCCACTCCAGTAGCCCTGGCTGGAGGCCAGGCCACCCTTTTGTCCCCATCAGTTCTCCTTGCACTACCCACTCTGCATTAGTCCGTCCCAGGCCCTCATTTACAGGCGGGAACACTTAAAAATGGACACTTGGCTGGTTGCGAGCTTGGTGCTCGGGAGCTGATGAGAGGCACAGACCAGGCCCCCTTCTCGGACTCCCAGGCTGGGACATTGAAGCAGAGAGCTGTGTCTACGGATGGGTCTGCCTGGGCAACCAGCTCTCCAAGAGCAGAGCTTAAGCTGCAGTCCTGCCTGGATGCAGCAGACATGGCTGGCTGGCTGGCTTCCAGAAAGGTCAGGCTGGCTGTTGATGGCTGACCTCACCGTCCTGCCCAACTGGAGAGGTTACTGTGGCCACAGCTGCCACTGTAGATAAGGTTGCCTGGGGACTGCAGTAGCCCCATCTCTGGCTCCTGTGTCACTCAAGCTTGGCCTGTGAGTGGGCCCGGAGCAGGCCTCACCCAGCCCACTGAGGATGGCAATGGTGTCCTGGGGGCCTCGCATCTTCTAGGGTTCCAGAGCCGGGGATGGAACTGGGCTCTGGACAGCAGGATGGCAGGGAACAATGCCACCCACCCCCTCCAGAGCCTCCCAAATTAATGACCACAACAGGAGGGAGAGCAAGGAGAATTGTGAAGAACTGAGGAGGTGGTGGCTGGCCCAAGTCTGTATGATTGGAGAGGCATCCCTGTTGGTTCCTTCCATCTCCACACAGATGCTTAATGAAGAAAACGGCTTTTCGGTGCCTCCCAGCAGCCACACACAGCCTGGGCAGGCCCCACAGAGCAGCGAAGGCCCAGAGACTTGACTTTCCCAGGCCCCTCCCACCCAGAGCAGGGCCCACGAGGCAGCTTCTCAGTCACGAATCAGCCTGTGAGGCTGGCGCTGCGCCTGGGCCTCCTGCCAGGGGCGTGAGGAAGGGAGTGCTGGGTTCAGACACTGTCCCTGCCGCCTCTGGCTCAGGGCTCACTGCCTGTGGCCGTGCCTCTTCCCCACCTCCAAGTCACCTTGGGCCTGGCAGTCCAGCTCAGAGTCCTGTCCTGCCTTCACTCTGGAGCACCTAGCAGCCACTTCACTGAGGCTCAGCTCCTGAGGATGGAGGAGCAGAGGACAGGCTGCTGAGAGGAGAGGGTGGCTGGGGACTGGGGGCAGAGGGAGCTGCACAGGGCTCCGAGCAGGCAGCTGTGTCTACCTAGGAGTGACTCCTGGTGTCGATGGATGACTCGGGGATAGAGTCTGGGGTCTGGAGGCCCTGCAGCTGGCACAGCCTGTCCAGGAACAGTCTAGCTGAGCTCTGGGAGCCCAGGCCAAGGACAGAGCCGCCCTGCCTGGTTCCCTCCCAGGCTCTCCCAGAGACCACCCACGTGGGCCCTATCAGCTGGGATCATTCTCCAGCCCTCTGGCTCAACCCACAAACCCACTGGCTCCGAGCTGCCCAGGCCTCCCTCCCTGGAACGGCTAAGTCCCAACAGCTGACCCTGGCAGGCATCTGGGCCACAGGGAGAGATGGGAGAGAGTGGCTTCAAGTGGAGGAGGGTGGCACCACCCTGGATGGGCCTTTGACCCTGAGGACACAGACTTCTGAGTGGGGCCCAGGCCTGAACAGCGGGAAGGGAGGGTGGGCAGCAGACTATCACCTAGCACCAGCTTTGCTCTGGTCTGGCTTTGATCTCCCTCCCCAGGCCCTGGGCTCTGGCCCCATAGAACAGTTTGCTGCCCTCACACAGGCATCATGGCTCCTTCCCTTGAAACTGGGCTCAGGCCAGTCTGTGTCTTGGGAGTGCCCGTGCCTCCCCCTGCCAGTCTAGTTCCTGCCTGTCCTCAAGGTTCAGGCCCTTCACAGGGCCCTGGCTCCCAGCATCTCATGCTCTGCATGTGCACAGCACGTCTTTCTGGAAGGTGCATCCTTCTGCCTCAGGTCTGAGGCACAGTGCACGCTATGGACCACAGGTCCTACAGCCTGAGCATCCCAGAGTCCACTCCCAGCTCCGCCACTTCCTAGCTGGG
Organism: Homo sapiens; assembly: GCF_000001405.40. Taxonomy (NCBI): domain Eukaryota; kingdom Metazoa; phylum Chordata; class Mammalia; order Primates; family Hominidae; genus Homo; species Homo sapiens. The sequence continues at coordinate 28,357,392 of NC_000002.12, forward strand.
CGATGATGGACAGGAAACTGAAGCTCAGTTGCTCATCTGTAGAATGGGAAAAATAATAGCCACTTCACAGGTTGTTTTTCTTATTGTTTTATTGGGCTTTTTTTTTTTTTTTTTTTTGAGATGGAGTCTCACTCTGTCACCCAGGCTGGAGTGCAGTGGCGCGATCTTGGCTCACTGCAACCTCCGCCTCCCAGGTTCAATCAATTCCCCTGCCTCAGCCTCCCAAGTAGCTGGGATTACAGGCACCTGCCACCATGCCCGGCTAATTTTTTGTAATTGAGTAGAGATAGAGTTTCACCATGTTGGCCAGGATGGTCTCGATCTCCTGACCTTGTGATCCAACTGACTCGGCCTCTCAAAGTGCTGGGATTACAGAGTGAGCCACCGTGCCCAGCTTTTTTTTTTTTTTTTTTTTTTTGAGACAGAGTTTTGCTCTTGGTGTGATCTCGGCTCACTGCAACCTCTGCCTTCCAGGTTCAAGTGATTCTCCTGCCTCATCTTCCAGAGTAGTTGGGATTACAGGCGCCCACCACCACACCCAGCTAATTTTTGTATTTTTAGTAGAGACAGGGTTTCACCATGTGGGCCAGGCTGGTTTCGAACTCCTGACCTCAAGTGATCCACCTGCCTTGGCCTCCCAAAGTGCTGAGATTACAGGCGTGAGCCACCGCACCCACCTCACAGGTTGTTTTTTAACAAGGATTAAAGTGGAAGAGGATTAAAATGAGACATCTGTGGGACCTGCTTAGGCTGGGGCTCAGGATGTGCAGTGATTATTCCGCACCGTGGTGATGGTGGCAGTGGTCATCGTTCCTATGGTGAGTCCTGAAAAGAGCGTTGATTTTCTGAAGACAGGAACATGTCTTCTGTCTCAGTCTTCTCTGCCCTCCCGCCCACTCCTACTCCCCCGCCCCGCCGACCCCGACCCCGCCCCAGTGCCCTGCAGAGGGAGCCTGCTGGGCATGGGTAGAGAGCCCATGAGAACCTGGTGCAGGTGGAAGGAAAGGGGACCCCACAGGGAAGGTAGAAGGGCCAGGGCTTTCCCCAGCAGTGGCCAGATCTGAACAGAGATGACTCTGTGTTGCTGTGGCCACTCCAGACCCCAGACCGCAGCCTGATATCCAAGCTCCCGAGGGAGCAGAATGCATCAGCCACCTCAGAGAGGAGGCGCAGCCCAGTCAGGGCCCCACGTTGTCACGGCTCCAGCTGTCCTCAGGAGGGAAACTGTCTTGCAAGCCTGGAGACTTCTGGTTGCTTCTCGGAGGAAAGGTAGCATCTCCCTTCCTTTCTGGGAAACAAACATTCCCGAGTACCAACTGCGTGCCAGGCCCATTGCTAGCTGCAATCTTAGGCGAGTCCCAAACCTCTCTGAGACTTGGGCCTGTCATCTGGAAACAGAGTAGTCTATAAAAGATTGACTTCAAAGGGCTGTGAGGACAGTCAAAGAGACCATAAAGCACAGAGCTTGGGCAGGGGTGGGCATTCAGGAGAGGTGGTGGCCCCTTCCCCTGTGCCTGCCCCTGGGAAACCCTGTCCCCTACCTGGCTGGCAGCACAGGAGACGTGGAGAAGGGACAACCCGGTCTGGGGACGGGGCGGTTTCTCCAGGCTGGGCTGCCACTGTCTTCCTTCCCTGTGTGGGTGGTGGCTCAGGGCCTGGTGGTCTGCCACAAAGGTCCAGAAGGTCCACCCTTTCTGGTGGCTGGGGGTGGCAGTCAGGGGCTTCAGGACAAGCCTCTGGCTGCTGTGGCCCCCTACCCTTCCTCTGCACCTTGGGAGCCCCAGCCCCTGGGCTGTCTGAGTCTATGCTAACAAAGTAGGAGCCAGAAACGTTCCTTTAGACACAGGTCACTGTGAGCCTTGGCTAAGCCTGGGGACCTCTTCTCGGCCCTGGCTACGGCCCAGATGCCCACCCTGAACCTTCCACGAGTCAGGGCAGGCACCATTTCCCCAGGACCAGCTGAGCAGTAAAGTCTCTTCTGGTTTATCTGGAGGAAGGAAAATGACGTCATGAGGTAAACCGCACAGCCTGAAACCACGAGGCTGGGCGCCCCAGTGATGTTTGCTTTTCAGCAAAAGTCACCATGCACACAGAGGGACAGGGAGCCCAGGCCATTGTGGTCAGAGGGTCAGGGGGAAGACAGAGGGAGATTTTTTAACACGGAACCACAAGGAAGGAGAGGCCCCCGGAGAGGACGGACGTCAGAGGCCAGAGGGCGGCTTCCTGGGGTGCTGTGAGAGACTTGTCACCTGCTGGGTGGGGCAGTCTCTGCTGGTGTCTCACGAGGTCTCGGGCTTGGCACCTGAGGCATGCAAAGTCACGTTTGCCATGGCGGGCACAATAATAGTGGCAAGAATAATAATATCGATAACGCATCCTGACCATGTGTCTCTGTAGCCCTGTCACCTCCTCACCACCGTCCCATAAGACGGGACCCTGCGAGGCAGACGCAGCCTGCACACAGAGGAGGGAGGGGAGGCTGCTGGGGCTCCGGCCTGTGCTTTCGCCTCCAGACCATGGAGCTTCTTCACCCACATGCTGGGTGCCGTCCAGCCTGAGGCCTGTGTGCAGGGTCCCGGTTTCAAGCCCCGATTCCCACCTGCTAACTGTGACCCAGGAAGCCCCACCCCCCGCAGCCCTCAGTTTCTTCACCTGCCAAACTCCCTGCCTTCGAGGTGAGAGATTACGTAAGTAAGGTAAAGCTTATTCTTCGATACCGTTCTCTTACTCTGTCAATGCTTTGAGCAGGGTTCCCTGGAGAAACTGGCCCCAAAGCGTGGGCCCAGACACTGGTCTTGATGGGCTGGCTGAGGCGGGAGCTCCGTCTCATGGGAGTGGATGGGAGTGGCAGGCAGGTGGGTGGCACCTTCTGTGGAGCGGGGGCCAGTCGGCAGCTTAAACGAGGGCAGAGAGAGCTGTCTAGGGAGGTCCAATGGGGCTTCACTTTTCTCAGGAATCTCAGGGTCTCCAAGCCCCCACTCTAGGGTGGCATGAGTTTGGGGGGTTCCTAAAGGAAGTCCCCTGTGTCTGGGTGTGCCTGGGTGGCAGTGTAGGGGCAGGTGTGGTGCCCACATTGTCCATATGTCCTCACCCGCCCCAGGCCCCAGGCCCTCTGCCTCAGGGTGGGGCCGCAGCTCAGCTTTGATGCCCCTGAGGGCCTGCCTGCCGGAACTGCTGTTTCAGGCAGGAGGTGGGAGGACGCAATGCAGGCGGGGTTGCCCAACCAAAACACCCTCAGCCCAATTCCTCCCACAGGCCTCCTGGAACCCGCATTTCTTCAGTGGAGTCACAGCTTTTTGGGCTATGGCTCCTCTTTTCAGTTCTTTTTCTTTATAACACAAAGACACCATGAGAGAGGCCGTACTTCACAATCCCCAAGTGTTAGAAGGCAGAGGGTCTTCCAGACAGCCACCACCAGGCCTGTGCTTTACAGAGGAGGAAGCTGAAAGGACTGGTCCAAGACCACACAGCGGGGAGCAGGTGGCAGCACGGACGCTCGAAGCTTGGTCTCTCGCTGTGGAGTTTTCTCTCGCCTGTCTCTACCGCTATCATCCTAATACTGAAGCATCAGGTCCTTTTTCAAGACACCACCAGCTACAAGCAGAGGGCAAGCCTGGGGCTGAGAAGCACTGTGGGGAGGAGGGGTGGAGCTGGGAGAGGGTCACGGGAGTCAGGGGCCAGGGAAAGCTGCCAAGCAGAGACAGCCTCTCCTGCCCCTTTCCCAGGGCTGACTCAGCACCTTACGCGTGAGGATTTGTCATCAACAACTGACCCCAAAAGCCATGGTGCCCTGGGGTTGGTGTCCCAGTGATGCTTTTCTGACTCGTGGCCCAGGATGACACAAAGCCCCAAGGGACAAGCCAGAGATCCCACTGGCCCAGCCAGATGCTCCAAGATTCCTTTTGCCTGTAACCCAGAACTGGCCCACCCTCTTGCCTGGTTACTGGGGCTTTCACGAAAGAGCAATGGACAGTGGGAAGGGCTCGCTGTGAGGCAGGATCAGTCCTGGGGCCCTGGGAGTGTCTCTTCCCTTCCCCGAGCCTCAGTGTTCTTGTCTGTACAATGGAAGTTCAGGTCAGATGGTCTCTGGATTCCTTCCCAGCTCTGAGAACCAGGTTCTACCTCAGCTGTTCTCAGAAAGGACAGGGTGGTCCGGGCTGGGCATGGGCTTGAGGCTTGTGCCCCTCTCCTAGCCCCAAGGACTTCCCATCCTTTCAGGTCCCGCTGGGGCTCAGCTGCCCAACTCTGATCAGAAAGAAGAGCTGTAAGTCTGGCTGGGCGGTGGCTCATGCCTCTAATCCCAGCACTTTGGGAGGCCAAAGAGGATGGACTGCTTGAGCCCAGGAGTTCGGGACCAGCCTGGGTAATGTGGCGAAACCCTGTCTCTACAAAAAATACAAAAATTAGCCAGATGTGGTGATGTGCGGCTGTAGTCCCAGCTACTCAGGAGGCTGAGGTGGGAGGATCACTTGAGGCCAGGAGGTCAAGGCTGCCATGAGCTAAGATCACAACACTGCATTCCGGCCTGGGTAACAGAGCAAGACCATGTCTCTAAGAGAGGGGGGAAAAAAAGCCATGGGTGTCTAAGCTGCAAGGCCCCCCAAATCCCTGAATCCCACTAACCATCTCCCAAGTGAGTAGAGGGAGGCCAAGAGAGGGCAAGCAGCTGTCTCATGTCTTCCCTGAAGGAACCCTCTCATGGGACAGCTGGACACAGCCAGGCGGGAAGGACTCTTCACCAGCCCCGTCTCCATAGTCCCGGCTGCCATCACTGCTGGCATCGACACTGACCCTCCAGCTCCAGCACCAGGTCACCACCCTGCCCCTCATCCATCCTCCTCCTCCACGCGTGATGAATGAGCTTTTCTCATTCAATCATTCTCAGGGGCAGCATAGCGTGGCCAGTAGGAAGGAGGATGCGGGAGCCAGCCTGCCTGGCTCCACCACCCACCAGCTGCTTTTATTCCCTGCCTGCTCTAGTTCCCTGGCTGTAAAATGGGGATACAAATAATATCTTCCTCATCAGGTCACTGGGAGGCTTAAATAAGCCCATACTGTAAAGTGCTTAGAACAGGGCCTGCCACGTAGTAAGTACTCCATAATTGCTATCATTCATCCATTCATTCATTCATTCATTCATTCGTGAATTCTATCCTGCCTGTTTCTGAAAGAGTTGAGATGACTCACAGTGGAAATGCAATGATAACAGGCCTTTAAATTCAGATTAAAAGAACACAAGCCTAGGCTGCAGAGGAGAGAGTGTCCCAGAATCTGAGCCAAGCAAGCCTCACCTGAATACAACCTCCCGGCGTCTCATCCAAAACATAAAGGTTGCTGGTATCAATTCTCCTTTTCTGATGAAAGGAAGCATAACAGCTTTCCAGCGGAATAGAAGATTTTTTTTTGGTTCAAACTTTATGAATGACATTAAACAATGCAATGAGTAGCCTCCCCCTCACCTCACCCTGTCCGCCTTTTTAATCAACTCCTGAGAAATGGGGTCTGCTCTTCTTCCCATCCCACTCCCCATCTCCAGACCCTGCGGAAGCCTGTGGTCCTGGAGAGCCTGAGAGCCCTCAGAGCGATACCTTCAGCTATCCCAGGAGAAGGACACTCTTCGCTTTCAGCACCAGGGGAAAACTAGGAAAAAGCCAAGCCACTGAGTCAATGAGGGCCTTCCCTCAGCTGCAGACAGCAAGCCCCTTCCAGGCGCTTCCCCGCAGCTACGGCAGCAAGTGCCCCAGGGGCAGGGCCGGGAATGCTCACTGAGAAATCCCAGAGCTGCCTGCACTTCCTCTCACCGGCTTCCCCTTCTCTCAGCAGCCACAGGCACGGGAAAGGTGAGCAGGGCCTTCCACGCTCGCCTGAAAGATCTGGGGGCCCAGCAGGGAAAGGTCTCATTCCATCTCCTCCAGGACCCAGGGGGAGTAGCATGGTTCTAACTGTGGCCTGAGACCCCCTTCACGGACATAGGTATCACCAGAGAATGGCGCCCTGAGCCCTCACCCCCCATGTGTGTATGCGTGTGCAGACACACACACTTCACCAGGGCACCGCTGCCTGGCTCCGCTCAGGGGACGATGGGAATCTCCTTCCTGTCCTGCAAGCCTCTGCCTCATCTTTGAAAGACTCACAGAGCCCCCAATTCTTACCCACCTGTTAGGTGGGAAATTCCAATCTGGGCTCTGAAGGGAGTGGCCCCTCACCCCCTCCCTTTCCCAGACCCTTCTCAGCCTCCGGGATGTTTCCCCAGCAGCCCGTGGGCTTCCATCCTCAGTTGTGGGCCTTCCAGTGGGTGGGCATTCATCACTGCAGACAGCACGCAGAGGAGCCCACCCGCTGGGTCCCTGGGGCACCGCAGCCCCTCTCCCAGTCCCTGTCCCTATTCCCTGAATCACAGGCAGCAGAGAAGCTGGCCCCATGTCTGGCCTCACTTGCCCTCTTGGCTGGGGAAGTTTCTTTTGGTGGTAGCAGAATGTGACTAGCCAGGACGTGATGACCTGCCACTCAAGGCTGGCTCATACACTGATCATGAGAATGGTTTGCTGAGAGGGGTTTTTGAGTGTGAGGAAAGTCCCAGCTGGTCTTGGACCCTGGGTACCACTGGGGTGGGGTGGGTGGAGTTAGATCGGGACCTGGGGCTTGTTGGGTGGGGTGGGTGGAGGTGCCAGGGCCTTCCTCTCCTGCCCCACTCAGGCCTTATCACCGCTCACCTGACTGTGGCCACAGTCTCCTCCCTGTCAGCGTCTCCCCGCCCAATCAACGCTTCACACCTTTGCAGCTGCTGATTCCCGGAGGACCACTTACACCAAGCACTGTGAGCTGATCGATGGCAGAGTCTCTCCAGCTCATGAGTCTTCAGTGACTCCCCATTGTCCATGGAAAACAGAAGACACCTGAGGCCTTGCACAGTGGACCTTATTCTCATCCCTCCCTCAGGAGAATCCTCTGCCTCGAGCCGAAGGCCGTGGGCTCTGCAGACTCCAGGCCTCTCCTTCCCAGGGCGGTCTTCCCTTTCCCTATGCTCAAGGCACAGCCCAAGTCCCACCTCCTCCATTGCAAGGGACACCACCCTCTGAATTCCTGTTGGGGAAAGAGCCTAGTTTTGCAGCCAGATAGGCCCGAGTTAGAGTCTCAGCTCAGTTCCAATCCCATTAGCTGGTTGCAAGTCATTAACTTTGTCAACCTTCAGTAAATGGAAATCAGGCCCACACTGTAGGTGCCTGGGGGTGCTGATGGTTGAGTGGAATCTGTTCTTTTGACCTTCCCAGCATCTTTCCCCTTCCCAGCATCCTTTCCCCTTTCTTTTGGTGATGTCGCCTGGATTTTCTGTTGGGTATGTGGTCCAGGGGTGGCTGACCTCACTTCCTGGTTCCAGCATAAGATCATGACTGAGAGCTGGCCAATGAGAATATTCCCTCGCCCCAGCCACAGAGTCAGATTCCCGGGGATGAACTTGTGAGTCAAAACAGGCTGGTGGGAACACACTTGGGGTGTTAGCTGGAGTTATTGAAGCTTTCTTTCCCACTGGAGTCACTAGGTAGATAGAAGGAAAGCTGAAGCCTTTAGCCACTGCTGTGGGTTGAAGTGTGTACCCCAAAAAGATATGTTCAAATTCTAATCCCCTGCACCTTTGGAGGTGGCCTTGTTTGGAAAAAGGGTCTTTGCAGATGTAGGCAAGTGAAGATGAAGCCATCCTGGATCAGGGTGGCTTGTGGCTTGTGTCCAATGCCTTGTGTCCTTCTAAGAAGAGAGAAATCGAGACACAGACACACACAGGGAAAAGGCCGAGTGATGACAGCAGCAGAGATGGGAGCGCGGCAGCTACAAGCTGAGGGATGCCAAGCATGGCTGGCACCACCCAGGAGCCTGGAGAGAGGGAGGGGACAGCCTCCTCCTTAGAGCCTCGAAACACCCTACCCACATCCTGGCTTCAGACTTCCAGCCTGCACAACTGGGAGAGAATCACTTTCTGCTGTGTTAAGCTACACTAGTTCATGGTGATTTGTTACAGCAGCTGCAGGAAATGAACACAGACACCAAATGGAGATACTGTGTCTGAGATTGAAGCCAGCACCGTGGAATCAGAGCTGCCAGGAGGGAGACGTGGACTCTCGACCCTGTGGCCACACTTGGTTCCCCCAGCAGCTGAAGCACGAAGTCTACTGGACTTACTAGACTTTCCAGTTACCTGGACCAATATATTCTCTGTTTTACTTAAGCTGTTTCGATTGGATTTCTGGCTATTTCAACTGAGAGAGGCCTAACTCTCAGTTATACAGAGACAATGGATGTAAAATGCATTGAAGGCCAGGCACAGTGGCTCGCGCCTGTAATCCCAACACTTTGGAAAGCCAAGGCAGGAGGATGGCTTGAGCCCAGGAGTACGAGACCAGCCTGGGAGACGTGGCAAAACGAAACCCCGTTTCTACAAAAAAATACATTAAACCATTTTAAAAAGAAAATATAAAATGTATTGCATGCTGCCTGGCCAATGGGAGACAGTGGAGTGAATGTAGGAAGTAGTTAGTAGAGTAAATGGTATTTATTATTACTGCTATTGCTGTTGTTTCTATTTCCAGCTAGGCTGAGCACTCTTGAGTGGCATAAGGGCCGAGTCTCTATTGGGCGTGGGAAGCAGGTTCTGAGGGGGTGGGGCCTCCTGTGGATAGGGGGACAGGAAGCAGGACTGGGCAGGGTGAGGCCAGGCTGGGATATGGGCCCGAGGGCAGCCTCAGCCAGCCCCACAGGGGTTCTGGAGCCAGAACTGCTCTTCAGAGTCCCCCTTGGGCCAACGGTGTCAGGCCTTTCTGCTGTTGCATCCTTCAGTCACTGAAGCTGGTTGCCTGGGAAGAGGTGAGATCCTGGGAAAGGTGACTCCCTGCCACTGAAGCTACCCCTGAAAGGGCGCACGGCTAAACGGCCACCCTCCTAGCAGCCGGGGCAGCAAGTCTTTCACCAAAGGGTGACCTGGGATGGGCATCACAGCGCCCACCACACTCAGTGCATAACTCTGGGCTGGCACCCGATAAACACTCATTATTGACAGCAGTCATTCGTTCACTCAAAACCCAAGGTCGATGGGGTAGTCAGGTGGCTGCGTGGTCTGAGATGACGGAGCTCTTTGGGGGTGTTGCCCTGGTGGAGGCTAGGGGTGGGATCAGAACCTAATGGAAACACCACAGGGGGCAGGAGGGGATGTGGCCAGGTCGGGTGTGACCAGGATTGGTTGTGCGGCCTTGTCCAGGGCTGGCACTGATAAGATCCAAGGCGGTGTCCGCTGAATGAACCAGGCTGCTGACCAGGGTGCTGTGAGCAATTCCCATCGCTTCCCTCTGGGCTGTGAGGCTCCTGCGCTGTAATATTTCTCTTCCTTTCTTAATGCTGATTTCGTTGTGTGTAGGGTAGAGTTCAGAGGCTGGCTAAGCCTTTAAAGGCTCCTTTTTTGAGTCTTGGCCAGGCCAACCCATGGCCCAGCCCCTATCTCAAAGCCAGGCACTCCCTCTTATCAGATAAGAAACCACGACTCAGAGAGAGGAAGCTAGCTGTTCAAAGTCACAGTCGGTGGTTGGGCCAGGAAACGGGACCCACTTCTCCCTCCCAGGCCTTCCTCATGTGCAATGCAGGCCCCCAGCTCAGGCCACGCTCCTCTGCCTAGCGAGGGTCCCAGCCTCTCTGCCTGCATCTGGCTTCACGCACACTTTCCGAGGGCAGGGGCTGCCCGGCTGCTACAAGCCGCAGTGGTAGGGCAGTGACTTGGCTGAGGGGGACATGGGGCTTGTCATTCCTCCCAGGGCTTCTCCAGGAAGTGACAGCCAGAAGGGCCCTGGGAGGCCGCTTGGTTCGATCCCACCCCCCTTTCCCATATCACAGGTGACTGGAAAGTCCAGGCCCCTGAGGTAAGGAGGTCACATAGTGAGTTGTCAGTGGGGGCAAAACCTGAGTTGCTTATTTGTTTTCCCTAAATCGCTCCTCTCCCTGAGTTTGCATCGAGCCCCTCAGAGCAATATTTTTTTCCCAAATGGTCTTCGCAGAGCACAACACAAGAATTGGTTTTACCACACGGCCCGCGTGCACTTCTTAAGGGCAGGCTGCCCATAAGGATCGAAAGCAGGGATGGGGAGGCAGCTCACTCCACGCGTGTCCTCCTTGCCTTTATTTATTTCTTCATTGAGACAGAGTCTCTCTCTGTTGCCCAGGCTGGAGTGCAGTGGCGCGATCTTGGCTCACTGTAATCTCCGCCTCCCAGATTCAAGCGATTCTCCTGCCTCAGCCTCCCGAGTAGCTGGGATTACAGGCGTGGGACACCGCGCGCAGCCCCTGCCTTTATTTTTTATAACCAAGACTGCTGTCTAAGAAGGTGGCTTCCATGAAGATCATTTTGCCCTGCGAGCACCCGGCTGGGTTGGATGTGCAGAGAGGGGTCTAGAGGAGTCGGCAGAGGAGATGGGAGGCCCCATGGGCTGCCTGAACAAAGGGAGAGGAGTCTGGAGAACACAGCAGGGAGAGCAGGGGTGAGGGGGAGAGAGGGGTGGCAGGGCCAGGGCTGTGAGAGGCGGCGGCTGGGACTTTGGCACTGTGCAGTGGGGAGGCCAAAGTCCCCAGTGAAGCGACTGACTGAAGGGCATGTGAAGAACCTGAACGTGCTGTGTTCCAGGAGAAGCTGTTTCCCTATCCACGGTGCAGTGAAGGCCCCCACCTGCTCTCCGCTCCAGAATGGGAAGAGAGGGAGGGATAGACGCTGCACCTGGGTTATCACAGGGTGGCACAGAGAGAAATGCAGAAGCAGGGCCTAGAGGCTGAGGACCCCCGGAACCTAAGCCCCACCGCACTGCCATTCTAGGGGACCAGAAGAAATCCTGGGGAGGGCCCTGGGTTCCTCCGCCCCTGGCATGGGGGTTCACATTCATCATGCTTAGACCTCAGGAAGCTGGGAGTCCCCCGCTGATATCTGGGTTATACCTACATTTTCTGACTTACTCCTCTCCGCATCTCTCTGCCAGAACTGTTATTCCCATTTTCCACCATGGGCACCCGAGGGCAGAGAGGTTAAGTAACTCGCTGAGGCCCCTGATGGTGTAGTTGAGCTGAGACTGAGAGTCCAGTGTGTCCCCTGCAATCCAGCCTCTTCGTTCTACACCATGTACCCTCTGGCCCTGCCTGACCCCTCCCCAACACCTGGCCAGAGCTGGGCTCACCCCACTCACTCAATACTTGTGCACTGCACGTGGAGGGGGCCAGCGCACAGGCATCGGGACTCTGAAGATGTGGGTTCGAATCCTGCTCTGACACTCACCACCTCTATTAGGTTTGGTACATTTAACTCTGCAAGCTTCAGTTTTCTCACCTGTGAAATGAGACCTGGGACAGGTGTGAATGAATGTTCGTATCTTCATCATTACCTGCCCAGCAGCGCACCAGGATGAAGGCCCCCTGGGAGAGCCTCACAGTAAGTGCAAGAAGCTCCAACCTGGCCCTCCTTTCTGTCCCTTCCAGCTCTGTGATGAGGCGTTTTTAGGACAAGCCCCCAAGTTCACCCCAGCTTTTCCTGCCGGCTCCATCCCTTGAGGAGTGAGCAGTCTACTCGGGGGAGCGGGAACCCCGCCAGGGACCCTGGGAAGGGCCAGTGACCACCCAAGGCCCCTAGAAGGGCCTTTGGGACTAAGACCATGGCCAGAAATGGGCCAGATAGAGGCACTTGGTAGTGGCTGGTTTCTTAGTTCCCAGTTTAAATGGGGAACTGCAGAGACCACCCACCTAACCACAGGTGAAGGAACTTAGCCTTTCTCTGCTCCTGAGCCTTGGAGTTCCCAGTGTCTGGATTATATTCCTGGATCTTAAGACATGATGAATTACCGCCTCTGTGGAATGAAAAGCCCTCTCCCTATCTCCTTTCCTTCCTGCTCCTCTGCCTGGGCTGTGGGATTCCAGAACCCAGCTGGGGCTGCCCCTCTCTCTTCCCTTTTCTGCTCCTGGGATCTGCTCAGCCTCTGAGCAGCAACCAATTCTGTGGCACTGGTGATCCTGGGCTCAGGGTGCCGGCTGGAACATAGCTCAGGGGACCATAGCACAGATGCCCTTTCCAACTCCAGGAGGCATCGTTACCCATTTTACAGATGAGGCCCAAGTTTGCCCGAGTCCGTGCCACTTGTCAGTGTGGCCTCTGAGCTTTGAGCCAGGGCCTGGCTGATATGAAAGGCTGCCAGAAGGAACTGTAAATGAGAACGAGAGTGGGGAAAGTGGGGGAAAGATCATCTTGCCTGCCTGTAGCAGAATGTGTCAATCACATTTCATGGGCAGTGTCTGGAACTGCCTTTTAGCATTACTTGAAAAACATTTAATTACTTTGTACAAATTAATAATAACAGTGCTACTAGATTTGCTCAGTGCCAGGCACTAAGTGCTTTACATCTGTGAACTCATTTAACTGAATTGGTCCCGGGGTTGGGATAGAACAGCTGCCCCTCCTTCAGCAGCGGTTCCAGCCGTCCTAGCTCTGCGGCCTGGCCACTTTGTTTTCCCCAATCCCTGGCCTCCAGGAGCAGGGCTCTCAGCTCCCCTGGCTCTCACGTCCTCACCTGAGCTGAGGAGAGGACAGGGTGGCTCTCTCCAGCTCCACACTGGTCTGTATCAGGCTATTTCACCCTCATTCAAAAAAAAAAAAAACAAAAGACAAAAAACAAACAAACAAAAATAGGCCGGCACGGTGGCTCACGCCTGTAATCCCAGCACTTTGGGAGGCTGAGGTGAGTGGATCACTTGAGGCCAGGAGTTTGAGACCAGCCTGGCCAACATGGCAAAACCCCATCTCTACTAAAAATACAAAAATTAGTTGGGCATGGTGGTGCAGGGCTGTAATCCCAGCTACTTGGGAAACTGAGGCAGGAGAATCGCTTGAACCTGGGAGGCCAAGGTTGCAGTGAGCAGAGATTGTGCCACTACACTCCAGCCTGGGCAACAGAACCGGACTGTGTCTCAAAAAAAAAAAAGAAAAAAAAGAAAAAAGAAAAAGAAAAAGAAAAACAAGCTGCCTCCCACTTTGGGGGCTTTTCCCTTCTCCTTTCCAAGTTGTAATCCCCCAACTGGCCTCCAAGTCATGACCCCACTCGCCATGGCACTGACTCAGCCAGCCTCTGGGCCACCACCTGGGAAGATTTCGACACCCTGGCAGGCAACCCATCCAGTACCCTTGCCTACAGCTTCTTGACCTCTGCAATCCTGTGGACTTTCAGCTTTCTCTCAGCAAGCCACTCCCTGGCCAAAATCTGAGCCTTGTCCCCACCTGGAAGGGCTCCATTCTTAAAATCCCCCTTCAGACTGTACCTTCCTGTGCACCCAACTCTCCCTTAGGCCTGCAGGGACTACCACCTCCTTTCTCCCCACTGCTCCTCCTTCCCTCCCTCCATGGCCCCCAGTCTCTCAGTTCTGTTACACATTCACTTGTATTCTATTTCCACCTCACCTCCAATGCCAGCATCTGAACACAATGATAAAAAAGGGAATGCTAGGTTCTTTTCACTTGGGACTGTTAAGCGCACAATTTCTAAGTGAAATATTAGCACAATGAATCAAACATTATATTATAAAAATACATCCTGCTCAAATAGAGTTTATTCAGGGAAAGCAAGCATGATTAATACTGTTGAACTTTGTACTATAATTCCCATTAATAGGTCAAAAGAGGAAAAACAATTTGACTATCTAGATAGATGCCAAGAAACATATAACATCCAACATAGCTGCTTTAAAAAAAATCTCTTAGTAAAACTGAAATAGAAGTATGCTTCTTTGATGTGATTAAAAAATACCTGTGTCAGACCAATAGGCAGCACCATGCGTGATGCTGAAACACGAGGGATATTGATGTTCAACTCAGGCACAAGAAGAGGATGCCAGGATTTGCCACTATTGTTTAACATCATTCTGGAACTGACAACCGATGCTGTTGATTAGAGGCAATTACTACGAGGCAATGATACCCCAGTAGCAGTAAGCTAGAAAGCCCCAGATCTCAATTTTTAAATGCCATTCTCCTTAAACAAATTTATAAGAAAAAATCAAACAACCCCATCAAAAAGTGGGCGAAGGATATGAACAGACACTTCTCAAAAGAAGACATTTATGCAGCCAAAAAACACATGAAAAAATGCTCACCATCACTGGCCATCAGAGAAATGCAAATCAAAACCACAATGAGATACCATCTCACACCAGTTAGAATGGTGATCATTAAAAAGTCAGGAAACAACAGGTGCTGGAGAGGATGTGGAGAAATAGGAACACTTTTACACTGTTGGTGGGACTGTAAACTAGTTCAACTATTGTGGAAGACAGTGTGGCGATTCCTCAGGGATCTAGAACTAGCAATTCCATTTGACCCAGCCATCCCATTACTGGGCATATACCCAAAGGATTATAAATCATGCTGCTATAAAGACCCATGCACTCGTATGTTTACAGCGGCACTATTCACAATAGCAAAGACTTGGAACTAACCCAAATGTCCATCAGTGATAGACTGGGTTAAGAAAATGTGGCACATATACACCATGGAATACTATGCAGCCATAAAAAAGGATGAGTTCATGTCCTTTGTAGGGACATGGATGAAGCTAGAAATCATCATTCTGAGCAAACTGTCACAAGGACAGAAAACCAAACACCGCATGTTCTCACTCATAGGTGGGAATTAAACAATGAGAACACTTGGACACAGGGTGGGGACCATCACACACCGGGGCCTGTGGTGGGGTAGGGGGAGCGGGGAGGGATAGCATTAGGAGATACACTTAATGTAAATGATGAATTAACGGGTGCAGCACACCAACATGGCACATGTATACATATGTAACAAATCTGCACGTTGTGCACGTGTACCCTAGAACTTAAAAGTATAATAATAATGAGTAAATAAATAAATAAATGCCATTCTCCACTAAACAGAACCAGAGATCCTTGGAGAAAGGGGTGATCCCAGGACTGGAACAGAGATAATGCAAGATGAGACTGGAACATCTTTTTGTGTCAGAAAGTAAGGAAGTGCTCAAAGAACAACGCGGACATGTCAAAATGACACAGGAGTCTGCCTGAAGGGGCTCCTACTGACTAAAACTGAGAGAATTTGAGCATCAAAAGAAATAATTACAGTAACGGATCACAACGCTTTGACTACAGTGGAGATCCATGGGTCCAGATGGATATAAGTGAATGAATGAATAAATAAATGAGGGAGAAAGGAAAACTCTTACAGTAGAATGCCAGCTGATAAATGTAGAGTGAGTGACAGAAATAGTCACTGTTTGGCAACCATCATAATGGTGATTGATTAAGGTCAGAGTCATCAAACGATGCTAAGGCTGGTGGGCGAGATTTGATGAGGAACAGGCTTTATAGTCTTGGCATCTCCTCACCACATACCTATCAAATGCAAAGGGAAAGACGGTGAGTTTATGGTGGAGAAATCTTTCAGGCACCAACCTGACCTGGTGTCAAGGTTAACATCACTAATGGTGGGACAGGTCAGAATCATAAGCCCAATGTGTAATGCCCCGAGGAGAACATGGCATCTCTTCTGTGGCATCCTTGCCAAGAATGCCCAGCCCCAGAGTGGCAACTGACAGACTCATTTGGGGGGCCATATTCTACCAAATAAATGGCCCAAACTTTTGAAGACTGTCAAGGTCACAAAAGACAAGGAGAGATTGAAGATCTGTTTCCTATTCAAGGAAACTAATGAGGCATGACAACTCAACGCAGCTCAGAACCCTGACTTGGAACCTGGACCAGAAAGGCAAATGAGGCATCATTGGGACAGTTGGAGAAATCTGGATGGGGTCCATGGGTTGGAGGATGGTGTTAAATTAATTATGACTTCCTAATTTGGAGGATTTAATGATAGTAACAAGGAGAAGATGTTGTGTTGGGGAAATATAAACTGGAGTACTTAGGGGTAATGAGGCATCGAGTCTATAAATTGTTCTGAAATTCTCAAATGGTTCAGCAAAAAAAAAAAAAAACAAAAAAAAAACAGATGCAACTCTCTATACATATATACATAGGAAGAGAAAGAGACAGGAATAGGGAGGCACAGAGAGAGAGAGAAGGCACAAATATGGTAAAATGTTAACAATCAGAGAAACTGGGTGAAGGGGATATAGCAGTTCCTTGTACTGTTCTTGAAATGTTTCTGGAAGTTTAAAGTTATTTTAAAATAAATTACTAGTGAATAAACCTAACACCACCCCAGGTTACCCTGCAACTGGCTTTTGCACAGCTCTGCCAACAGGTGCCACTGCAAATGTGTGGTGCCCAATGCTCACGAGTGCTTTTACTTGTGGTCAACAGCCCCTTGCGTTCCTGAGACAGAGTTTCCAAACTTTTACCTCTGTCCTCGAGCCCCCACCTGTCTCTCTCCCCATCCTTTTTTGTCAGATGACCTAACCCCTATTTTTCAGAGCAAACATAGGCCAACCTGGAGAGTCTTCCCTGAATTTCCCTAACATGACAATTTGCAAATGCTATACATCAGGTTATTGTTGTTTTGGGTTTTGGGGGTTACTTGGATTTTTTTTTTTTAAGAACTGGATATTAAACATTTACCAATACACCACTGAGTATCAATGTCTCTCATCTCGTGCTCTTGTCCTAGGGAGTGGGTTGCAGGACGATTGCGTGGAGTTGTGTAACAGGGCAACCCTGGTAGGGATTGATGTTCTGAGGCTGGGCTTGCTGTTGAATACCTCTGTTGAATGCCTCTGCAGCTTGCTGCATTAATGAATTGATTTTACTTTACGTGCTTGGAATTATGACTTATTATGCAAACAAGTGCAACCTATCTTCAAATTACTAGCTCTGGGACACTTTTTTTTTTTTTTAATAGTCACCGTATCCACATGGCAGGGCGCCATAGAACCAACCACAAGCACCAGGGGATCCTGATTGTGCCCAGGAAGCAAATGCATGTCTTCCTGAAAAGGTAAACCAAGGACTCTCTTGTCCCCTCAATGTGGTGGGCAGCCTGGCACACACCCCACCTCATCAGTCTTGTAACCTCCTGTTTCTACTTCTCTTAGCTGCTCCCGTAAAGATAGCTTGAAAGGCTGGGCTGCCCTTGGTTCACCCAAGGCTCGACGTGATCCCACATACAAGGTGACCAGAGGAGTTTGGGGAGTGCAGAGAAAAAGAGGGAGTCTGTTCTCAAAGCCCCGGAGCAAAGGGGTTGCCCGGGGTCTTGACTGTCTCTGCCCTTTCATGCCCTATGCTTCCATCTCCTGCAGCTGCCCTCTTTCCAGTGCCTTCAATGCCAGCTTCTGCTGCCCAACCAGACTGAAGATGGGCTGCCCGGTGCACACTTCCTGGTGCAGCACGAGGCGGAGGGAAGAATCAGGAAAGCAGGTCATGAGGTGCCTGCTCTGAGCCTCTCACTGGCCCCTTGTGGACTCTGACTGGTCCAAAGGAAGGTGCCCTAAGTGGACCCTGGGGGTCGGGGGCACCCAAGCCTGGGCAGCATCAAATTCTAGGTATACTAGGTGAGCACCTACCCTTCTGCCCTGTTTTGATTTCTTTCTGTGCCTTAGTTTTCCCATATATGAAATGGAACTAATCACCCTCAAAACACCCCTGCAAGGTACTAATTACTGTCTTTGAAAGGCTTTGAGATCCTTGCGTGGAAAATAACAGTACTAATAATGGATAATAACACTCTCCTTCTCCAGGGCCTTTCATCCACGGATCTCAAAGCCCTTCACAAACCTTAATTATTCTCACAACACCCCAGCGCAGGAGGCTGATGGTCATTAGCCCTATTTTACTGGTGGGGAAACTGAGAGAAGCCAGGAGACTGGCTTGAGGCCACACAGTAAGTTAGAAATCCTATGAAGGTTGGAACTCACAGCCCCCTGCCACTTGGGAAGAACTCAGACAATGGGGGCTTCCACCCAGCCCGGCAGGGGGCAGGAGCCCAGCAGGGCAGCAGTAGAGCCTCCCAGCCCACCAGGGCCCTTGGAGTGGCTGCAGAGGGGAGACTTGGGAAAACAGGAGGAGGCCCATAAGCATGGGCTTTGCTGGCCTGGCCTGGCGATTTGGGAAGAGAAGTAGCATTTATAGGGTTGTTCCTGAATGTCTTCAGGAAGTAAGTGGGCCTCCTCCAAAAAAGATAGACTACGGACTCATTTGTCCACTGAGCCCTTGATGGGGTTGGCAGCCTGGCATCCCCACCCCCAGGCCTCTATGGCTAGTAGGGCTAATGACCTTCAACCTCCAACATACACCAGATCCCATAAAAGGAACTTTTGTGTTGTGGCCTCCTCCTACCTGTGAGGAAGGGCATAGTGTTCCCATGAGGCAACTTGCTGTTGCCTTCATTGGCCCTAATACAACTGCAGGCCATCTAGGTACTGTTAGCACTAGGTCCTATTAACCATCATTTTAGAGATGGGGAAACTGAGGTACACAGAGGAACACTGACTTGCTCAAGGGTGTGGCTGTGACAAGTCACTGTTCTTCAATGACCTCTCCCCGCCCCCTCCCAACCCCAAGCGAGCAGGTGAGGCTGAATGAGATCATGTCCAGAAGGCCTTTGAAGTGTGTGGAGACTGCAGCTCTGGGGCCTCCCAGCGGAAGATGGAAAGCCTGGGGTCCTGGGCTCAGTGTCATCCCACAGAAGAATGGAGACAGCAGGGTCACCTGGACTGACCGGGGATCACCTGGGGACATGTCCTGCCTCTGAGCTTCTCTGGGGGAGGACCATGCTTCCTGGGACAGAGGGGTGAGCCCATCTCTGTTTGGGGCAGAGAGGCTCTGAGACCAGAGCCGTGTGATGGGACAGCTACTCCCCTTCTGCCAGGCCCAGTGCTCCAAGGGGTTAACCTAGGAGACCTCTGAGGTCCCTGCCAGCTCTGACAGTCCCAAGTCCCTTAACTTAGAGCCACACTCTTCAGAACACTGTCTGTTTTTCATGATTGCCCCTGCATAAGCTTAAAGAATGTTAGAAAGCAGATTCATCCCAGAGACAGTGGCAGGACCTTGAAGATCCAGCAGGGTGTCGGGAGCCCCGGCTCGGGCTCCTGGCCATCTCACAGACATACTGTGTGATCTGCACAAGGGCCTTCCTGCTCCTTGCCTCAGTTTCCCTGTTGGTAAAAACAGCAATGGAGAATACCCATGAAGTAATCCTGAGGGGGCTTGTGAAGCCCAAGGAAAGATATGCAGGGGGTGGCAAGATGAGCTTTTCTTGGCCAGGGAGAGAGCATGCAGGGAACACAGCACTTACAGAATGAAATGGGGGCGGTGCACGTAGCATTTTCTTTTGGGGACAATGCTAAAAGCTCTATTACAGTTTTCCTCACAGCCTGCCCAGCCTTGATAGAAGTAATATCTCATGTCTGTGTAGCCTTTTACCTAAGTGAGCAACAGGCTTTCTCTCCTACGTTATGTCTTTCCATTCCCCTGGACACCTCAGGGAACAGGTATAGTACCCTCAATTTACGGACGGGGAGACTGAGGCTCAGAAAGATGCAGTAATCTGCTGGAGGACACACAGGTAGTAAGGGGCAAACCCAGGCCTCGAAGCCAGCAGGCCCTTTGAGACATGCTTCTCTAGAAAGTTTCACCCCATGGAGTCCTTCCTGGGACCAGTACAAGGCAGGTCCGTCCTAGTGGTTGGGAGTGTGGTCACCACGTGCCTGCGTTGAGGGTCTGGATCACAGAGCCCACTTTCTGGATCCTTTTCCTCCTCTCGAGGGCCCCAGGAGGGTGGGCAAGGTCTCTTGGAATGGGGGGGCCTGGCCCCACGTGCGAGGTGAGGGCAGAGTGGGCGAGGTCCCTTGGGGTGGGAGGCCTGGCCCTCCTGACGGTGAGGGCAGGGTGCGGCCAGCAGTAGTTGGGAGGTGCGGGAGGCTCCTGCTCGCTGGCTGGGCAGGGTGGGGCAGGGCGGGGCAGGCACTGGGAACAGGGTGACCTGGACACCGCGACCTGCGATCATTGAACGAGGCACGCAGCGGTGGTGGTGGAGATAGGGAGACCCTCTGTGCCGGGGGGACCCTCACCAAGGTGGGCACCCTCTGAGCCTCCCGCCCCGCTAGCTTCCCCTTGGCCACCTCTAGGCAGCTTCCAGCAAGGATGTTCCTTCTCCCTCCCAACAGGCCCTCACCTGGAGCCTGCTCGGACCTGCCCTCTCCACAAAGCATGGTAGCAACTCCCTGGGGCAGAAAGTGTCTCTTCTGAAAGCAAGACAAGAGTTTAATGAAGCCCTAAACGCGCACAGTTGAGCCTGAAATTAGGGTGGTGAAGGGAGGGGAAGAAGGCAGTTGAGGACATGGGGGCTTCAGCCCAGCCCTGCCCCAGCTGAGCAAAGCAACCTGCAAGCAAACATTTGCAGAGCCCGAGGGCTTGGTTACAAAACATTTCTGACCTAGAAAGGGGAGAATGCCACGTTCCCTTCCCCCCAGACTCAGGTTTGGGGAGTGGTGTTGGGGTTTGGGGTTAATTTGGAAAGGGGGAACCAACAGGTAAAGAGAGGCCACCTCTGAAGGTGGATGCCTGGGTCTCTGAGGGTGTGGGGGGAAGCATGGGTCTGCCCGGACTGAAGCTGGGCAGGTGGGAACCCTCCCCACCCTGAGAGGGAGGGAAGGAGGGAGGACACTGAGGGCTGCTGGGCTCTAGGTAAGCCAGTCAGACTGCACACACAGGTGTGCCAGGGCTGGGACTCCTGCCCAGGACACCCAGCACCGCTCTACCAGGTGGGCAAAGCTCATTCTGCTCCCCAAAGAGGAAGGGAGTGGCCAGCCCTGAAGGGAGTGGCCAGCCCTGATTGACACAACCAGCTGGGCTCCTGGCTTTAGGGACAAAGCAACTGAGACTTGCTTTTACCAATGGTTGCAGGCATCTGGACAACTGGCAGTGTTGAAGGGAGCACTGGCCTCAGCCCCTCTCTATCCTGTCCCCAGGTCTCCCCAAAATGCTGCTGAGACATTCAAACCGCAGCCTCCTCCTTTACCTGGTAATTGATCCTCTTTTGCCCTGCAACTTGGGTTTGGTCTTAATTTGCCAGGCACTAAAGGCAAGAAGAGACGGGCAGGAGGGC
Source organism: Homo sapiens (assembly GCF_000001405.40). Lineage (NCBI taxonomy): Eukaryota > Metazoa > Chordata > Mammalia > Primates > Hominidae > Homo > Homo sapiens. The sequence continues at coordinate 28,378,474 of NC_000002.12, forward strand.
GTGTTATCGCTTGTCTCCGGGCACAGAGGCTGTTGCAACAGAGCTCCTGAGTGCGTGTAAGAGTGCACGCGTGTAGCAGAGGAAGGGAACAGGCTGCACATGGGGTGGAGGATGGGTGCCAGCTTTCCTCCCTTGTGTGTGCCTATGGCAGGGGGAGGGTCACTGGGCTGATTTCTGTCCCTGAGGCAGGAGACCCCAGGACACAAAACAGACCCAGCAAGGCCTCTGTAGCTGCAGCCGGTGCCTGAGCTGCTCAGCCTCCCTGTGCTGACTGACACTGACTGAAGCTGGTCTCATAGCCCAACTCGTAGCTTCTCAGCCAGTCTTGACTGGCACCTGCCTGGCAGCCCATTGACCACTTAGTGGAGATGGTATGACACCCTGGGGGCTAGAAGCTGGTTGTAGGTTCTTTGACTTTAAGGGACTATCTTCTAAAGAGGCCAAAGTAGGCACCTTTGCTGGTGGCTCTGGCAGAGCTGCGGAAGCAGCAGCTCAAGTTCTGCCTTGAAGCTGAGTCCATTTGCTTTCCCCCTTCCCGGGACAGACGCGGAATCCTACCACAGTTATCCCATCACCGAATCAAAGGTATCATGGGGGGTGACGACCAGTGGGCAGGGGGTCAGAAGAGGCCCTGGGATCACTCAGTGCAGACTCCTTCGCCGCCTTCCTCCTCAGCACCCCTACCTCTCTTGGTTTCCTGTGGCTGCTATAACAGAGGACCACAAACTTGGTGGTTTAAAATAACAGACTCTTCCTCTTTCACAGTTCTGGAGGCCAGAAGTCGGAAATCAAGGTGTCGGCAGGGCCTCGCTCCCTCTGGAGGCCCTAGGGAGATCCATTCCTCATCACTTCCAGCTTCTGGAGCTGTCAGCATTCTTTAGCTTGTCCCTGCATCTGTCTCTGCTCTGTCTTTGTGAGGCCTTCTCTGTGTGCGTCATCTCCCTCTACCCCACTCTTATAAGGATACTTCCTGTTGAATTGTGGGTCTGCCCAGATAATCCAAGAATCCAAGATGATCTCCTCCTCTCAAGATTCTTAACCTCCTTACATCTGCAAAGACCCTTTTTCCAAATAAGCTCACATTCACACGTTCCCGGGATCTGGACACAGACCTATCTTTTTGGGAGACCACCATTCAACCTGCTATACCATTCAGTGGTTGGTAGGTTGTGGCTTAGACCCCTCTAGTGATGGGCGGCTCACTACTGCATGAGTTGGCTCCATCTATGTCCAAACAGGTCTAATTATTTTAAAGTTCTTACTTGGGTGGAGCTGAAATTTTGCTCAACAGGAACTTTTACCCACTGGCCTTAGTTCTGGTCTTCAGAGTACATACATCTAAATAAATAAACCCTCCAATCCCACCACCTCTGCCCCTGATTACAAGGCAAAAACAAAATGAGAAAAAGGATGAATGGGCTTAGTTTTGATACCAGGGAAAATGCAGAGACTCCGGTCTCCCTGGTGGCCCTGTCCCTAGGACTTTGTGCCTGTTTCCTCGCCGTAACACCAGAGAGTGGCCGAATCACCGTTTCATGGGATGCTTTTGAGAAATGCATCCTGGAGAGTCCCAATTTGCACTGGTACATTAAAGGCTCTGAGAAGTCCTAAGTAAAGAAATCCACTTAACCCCAATATTTTCCAAACTTATTTGAAAATACAGTGCTTTTATCCACTACCATCTTCTATCACCTTGCAAAACTTCCTCACTCTTTGGGGAAATGCTTTCAGTGATGCCTCGGGGTCTTTTCCAGCTTTCACAATCTGTTTAGGTCAAACCTAATCGTTCATGTGCTCAGATGCCCATCCCTAGCGCTGTTGTTAAGCATTTTGCTGGAGGTAACAAATAATCTGGAAAATTAGAGGCCCCTGCCCCAAGCCACAGACAGCCAGGGTGAGGCTGTGGGCGATGGCCTCCGCCTAGGGGCCCTGGGCCTCTCTAGCTCCTACCTGGCACTACAGGAAGCGGAGGGCCCCTGTGGGAGGAAGCCAGGGAAGTAAGGAGTATTTCTGTTGCTCTGTCCCCTGGAGATCCAGACCTTGTCTCAACTTCAGACTCAGCACTGCTCAGCCATCCTCGTTAGGTAATGCTGTCTCTGAATCAGGTCTTCTGGAAGCTTTATTTGAAGGTCTCAATTAACTTCTACCTTGGCTGTGGGGGGCGGAAACACACACACACACACACACACACACACACACACACACACACACACAATCTCAAAGGAGTTGAAGCTTATGAAGTGGGAGCAAGAAGAATACCTGGACCTCCCAAATGAAAGGTGCTTCTAGTGGGGAGAAAGAAGGATCTGAATGATTTGTCCTAATGGAAGAATGAGAGAGACTGCAGATCACTCACTGATGGAATCGGTGGGGCTGCGAGCTCTGAGAGAGACGGAAACGTTGACAGGAAAGCTGAACTAGGAGAATGGAGTGTCTTGAAAAGGCTACCACGTTTCTCCCCTTGCCCAGCGTGAGATGACATGTGGGCTATTACCCTCTCCTATCATTTTCTGTCTTTAAGACTCCTAGAAGAGGACACTCAGCCTCAGAGGATCAACCTTTATGGAGTGTCTGTTACCCAACAGTTTCATCTGCAGAAACAAGGTTCGCTGTGCCCTGAGATACAGCTGTTTACTGAGTGCCCTGTACCAGATACCATGCTAGCTGCTGACACATATATATTATTTAATCCTTTTAACCTCTAAAATCTTACAGGTGAAGACACCGAGGCTCAGGGAGGAAGCAAAGCGCGGAGCAGGGCCAGATCTGTCTGGCTCCTGACCCCACACCACAGCTTTCGACATTGTTTAGTAACAGCCTCTGCATCCTGAGGGTGCTCTCGCTAGGTGTGACTTGAATCTCTCCTCCCCTCGCCTGCGTTGGATCTGATGGAAGGACTGTGTAAGTAGGTCGGATCTGCTTCTAACCCAGCCTTGAGAGACATCACCTGTCTTCTTGTGCAGGTAAGTCGCCTTCTAGCTACTGGGGTGGGGAATGTTTGCTTTCTGTTAATGAAAAGAAAGAGGTGATAATAAATAAATGCCCAACCCAGTGCAGTAATCAGTGTCCCTAACAATAAGGCCCTGTGTTTGGTCTTGGCTGCGGGTTCTATTCATTGGCTAACGTCACTACTCAGGAGCCCCTGGGCATGTCAACAGGGTAGGGCCCCAGGCACACTTACAGGTGAGCGGACTGAGCCTTTCTGCTGTAAGCTCCCAGAATTCCTCCTGGGAAGTGAAGTTCCTGCAGACCTGCTTCCAGGTGCCCCAGGCCAGAGTGAGGGAGGTGCCTTGGGCTCCCAGGTGCATGGGGCAGTGGAAATGGCACCCTGCGCCTGGCATCAGGAAATGGGGGGTCTTGGCCCAGCTCTGCCTCTGGTGCCCTGGGTGATGTGAGGCAAGGCTGTTTCCCTCTCTGAACCACAGTTCCCACATTTGTATAATGGTGGGGGGTTGCACCAAATACACTCTCAGGTTCCTTCTAGTTCTGACACTACAGGATCCTGTAGACGCAGCTTCTCCCACATCTGCTTTATTCCAGATGCCACAGCACAGGGGCCCCCAGCTGGTAGGTGGAAGACCTCAGAGCTTCAGCAGCCCAAACTCTTTTTTCTGTGAGCTGCTGGACACGCTTTCCTGCCTCAGCTTCCCCAGACCCTTCCTTTCTTCCCCACTTGCATGTGTATGAAATTTCCCACTTTGTGAGACATTTTCAGAAACATTATCCCACTGGAGCCTCACCACAACCCTGTGAGATGGGCAGAGAAAGGAATGTAACACTGTGGGCATCACCCATGTGCCATGCCCCTTCCGGGCTGTTTCAGTGAATCTTCCTATAGCTAGAGAAATCCTTTTGGGAATAAGGCAGAGTATAAATAAACAGACGGTGGGTGGATAGTTAGATAAATACATACATGTGTAATTCTCACCGTGGCCTGGAAATCTTGGTGTTGTTATCATCACCACATCACAAGGAAGGAAAGTGAGGCGCAGAGGGGTTCAGTACCTACCCAGGGTCCCCTGGCTATCAGGTAGCAAAACCAAGATTTGAACCCAGGCCTCTGTGGCCTAAGCTCATGGCCCTTTCTGCTGTGTGCTAAGGACACAATCAACATTCTTTGCTCCAGATGAACTGGGTATATAGAGATGAAGTGACTTTGTCAAGGTTACCGAAGCTCCAACTGGCAGAGCCAGGAATCAAACCCCCATTTTTTGCCTACAAACGTAAGGCTCTTTCTGGAAACATCACAGTTGCCTCAAAAGAAAAACCAGTGGAGTCCCTTCCACCTTCCCTCCCTTTCTTCATTCCTCCCTTGCTTCTGTCTTTCCAGGAACATTCCCTCTCCTCTCACGTGTCCTGAGCAGGATATCGCATGATCTGCTCCTTGGCGCAGATAACAGAGCCACCACTCCCCAGGCTCTGTGTGTCTTTAGGGGCGTGGGGAGTGTGGGCCCCAGGCAGCAGCGCACGTGCTCAGTGACCCACAGCAGCTGATCCATGGGGTGTGGGGTGGGTGTGCTGACACCCAGGGGGACACTCATGGGGATTCTGGCAGCACCTGGTTGCACTCTGCGTGTGTTGTCCTTGGGGTGTCTGGCTGAGTCTGTGCAGGCCTCCCCTGTCCCTCTGAGCATACCCCAGGCAGCTGGAGTGGCAGGGCCTGCCCACACAATGAAGCTGGACTCTTTCTCTGAAGCACACTTGCCTTCCTGTCACCTGGCCCTGCTACAGAGTCTCCCTACCTCTCTCCTGAACCATGGCAGAAGACACAAGCTGCCAGCCTCCTCTCTGGGCTCTTCCTGTTGCCTTCCATTCTTTACCCTGCCACCAGAGAGATCAGCTTAAAACCAGACTTTTCAACTTCAGGCTGCAGCCCATGACATATGCCCCATGGGTCATGGGAAAAAAACATCTCACTCTGGAAAGTAGCAAATTTGTTTGGAAAACTCTTGCTTAAAGCATAGCCCAGAGCATGTCTTCTCCCCGCTTCTCAAGAAATGATCAATGGAGGAATCCTACTTACTTCAGATCTCTCCCCGTGTGTGTGTGTGTGTGTGTGTGTGTGTGTGTGTGTGTGTGTGTGTCTGTGTGTGTGTGTGTCTGTGTGTCTGTGTCTGTGTGTTTGTGTGTAGGGGGTGGTATTTTGGAGTGAATTTATTGAAGTCTAAAACATACATAAGGTACACAAATCATGTGCACAGCTCAATGAGTTTGCACAGAGCCAGCAGGCCTGTGCACACATTACTCAGCCTAGAAACAGCACTCAGCCAGCACCAGAGGCCCTTGGACCCCTCTCGTCTCTGCCTTCCCCTGACCCTACAAGGCCAACCATGCCCTGACTTCTACCATCATAGATTCATTTGCCTTAAAAAAATGTATATAGGCCAGGCACGTGGCTCATGCTTGTAATTCCAGCACTTTGGGAGGCCGAGGCGGGCGGATCACGAGGTCAGGAGTTTGAGACCAGCCTGGCCAACACAGTGAAACTCTGTCTGTACTAAAAATACAAAAATTAGCCAGGCATGGTGGCAGGGGCCTGTAATCCCAGCTACTTGGGAGGCTGAGGCAGGAGAATCGCTTGTGAATCCGGGAGGTGGAGGTTGCAGTGAGCCAAGATTGTGCCACTGCACTCCAGCTGGGTGACAGAGCTAGACTCCGTCTCAAAAAAAAAAAAAAAAGTATATAATGGAACAATATGTATTATCTTGTGTCTGGCTTATTTTGTTAACTATTCTATTTGCTAACCAGCTATGCACATGCATGTAGCATATACACATACCCACATAGATATACACCCATATATGTATGTACATATACATGTGTGTAATATATACATTTGTGTATATATGAATACCACATATGTGTGAAAAAATAATGTATATAAAATTTGTCCCCACATTTTGCTGAAATATTTAAAATAAAAAATCCAAACATTATGTCATTTCATCCTATATTCTTCAGTATGCATCTCTAAACAATATGGACATTATCTTACACAGCACAGTGAATGGTATTATCCCACCTAACAGAATTAAAACAATTCCTGGTCATCATCTAATATCCAGTTCACATTAAAAATTCCCAGTCTGTGAATTTATAGAAGTGCACAGATACAGGTGAGGCTGTGATCCCCACCACTGTTCCTGCCTTCTTTCCTGGCTCCTCAAGTCAGTGTCCATCAGCACTGCCTTTGGAATTCAATCCCAACTCTCCCAGGGTCTTCTGCAGTAGTCCCAAGTCTGGCACAAAACTCACAGAATGTTAAACTCAGCTAATTCAGACTCTCATTTGGTTTCTGAGTCCCTTTTAACAGCATCCACCATACAGACACAGCCTCTTTTTGAACATTTGCCCCAAACAGGTAGCACCATCTTCCTTAGTCAGGGGTCAGGTCTACTTCCTCCATTTGCGAGCGTCCATTTTTAGTCGTAGTCTTGTCCTCTGGGGTCACTCCAAATAAGCCTAGTTTCTTTTCCATGGGGAATATCTTCAGATATTTGGAGATACTTCAGATACCTCAGAACCATCCTTTCCCCACCCCGCCCCAGCCTCAGACTGTACGTTTTAGACCTTTCCTCTGGTCCCAGGCAATCCCATCAATTTACACTTGCCCCTGCATGCCCATACTTCCCTGAACCTGGGCCCTTCCTCATGCTGTCTGCCCTGTAGCTTCCCTGCCTTCACCTGCCAACATCCTATCAGACTTCTGAGGCCAATTTCACTGCTACCACCTTCGTGAGAACTTTTCTGATGTGTTCCATCCAATATAGAAAATTCTCACCCTTTGCATTAACCAGAGAACCCGGGTAGCTGCCTTGTGCTGTCAATTGTGTTCTGACTTGTTTTAAAGTTATTTGAGAATCTTTGTAATCCCTCACCAGCTTCCAAGTTCTTTGAAGACTGATCCTTTCTTACCTGCATTTGTTTTTCTGGAAATGTCTTGAAAAGCTTAGGTGCTCGGGCCGGGCGCGGTGGCTCACACCTGTAATCCCAGCACTTTAGGAGGCCGAGGTGGGCAGATCACAAGGTCAGGAGTTCGAGACCAGCCTGGCCAACATGGTGAAACCCCGTCTCTACTAAGAATACAAAAATTAGCCGGGCGTGGTGGCACGTGTCTATAATCCCAGCTACTCGGGAGGCTGAGGCAGGAGAATCACTTGAACCCAGGAGGCAGAGGTTGCAGTGAGCCGAGATTGCACCACTGCACTCCAGCCTGGGTGACAGAGAAAGACTCTGTCTCAGAAAAAAGAAAGAAAGAAAGAAGAAAAAGAGTAGTTGCTCACAGTATGTGCTCTGTGTTCACTAGCACATTTGGACCTTTTTGGTTGTAAGTGACAGATATCCAATTCAAATTGGCTTCAACACAAAAGGGATAATTTCTGTGTAACAGGAAAGTCCAGGGAGATAACCAGTGGAAGTATAATGGGGTTTAGGCCATCAAACAATGTCATCAGGAACTTGCTGTTCTCCACTGCTCAGCTTTGCAGCCCTCTAGGTTGGCTTTCTTCCTGGTAGTCCGTCTTCAAGGAGTAGTAAAGACTGTAGTGTCTCAGTTGAAAAACGAGTGCTTCTCTAAGAGTTTGAGCCACAGTCTCAAATGTGACTCTCAGAAGCCAGTCTTGGGTCATTGCTACAATCCTGAACCTATCACTAACTGTAGCCAGGGAAGTGAGATATTCTGTTTGGTCAGGACTGGATCGTGTGTCCATGTGTTCACCTCAAGAGCTCAAGGGTAGGGTCACCCATGGCACATGAAATGAGGAAGTGGAGGTTCTCCAAAGGAAAATTGGGGTGCTCTTACCAGAAGAAGACTTGTTCATTAACACTATTTGTACCAAGACTCTGGGGCCAGAATACCTGCAGTGAAATCTCAGCTCTGTTGCTTTTCAGCTCTGGAAACTTGGGCAAGTTGACCTCTTCTGATGTCAGTTTTCCCCATCATCGAATGGGGATAATAATTGTAGCTACCTCATAGGGGTGTTGTGAATATTAACTGAATTAATGCACTATATATGATCCAATTAAAATACTGTCTGGTACCAGGTAAGCCCAATTAGAGGTTTTTATAGGTGTACCCACAGTTATTGCCTCATGCCCCCAATATTTTGTGTGTTACTCTTTATTCTTCTTGGCTGGATTGGAAGTTGCCTGAGGGCAGTGCCCATCTAGGCTTCCAGCTTCTCTTATACCCTTGAGGACAGGCTGATAGTGGCTGTGAGACCATGGCTGTGAGACCCTGGCAGCATCCTGGGCCCCCCACCACATCAGAAGTAGATAAGCCTGCCTGAGCCTCCTGGTCTGGGCCTGGAGCAAGCGGGACTCCCAATAGCCCCTTCCCCCTTGCTTTCCCAGATCCTCAGAACAGGAAGGTGGCAGAATCGTGTTTCAAAGTGGGACTTGAAGATGCTTGGCAGGAGACTCGTCCAGATGGAGGGGCAGTGGGGAAAAGCTTTATTGCCTTTAGGACTTCTGTGTCTCCCTTGCCTTACAACGTACCCAACATTCAATCCAGTGTCCTGGTGGTGGCAGATGTGGAAGCCGAGTCTGGAGATGTCAAGGGGCTTGGCCCAGGTCACACAGCCCGCCATAGTAGGGCTGCCCTTGGAGCTTCATTTCCCAACTGGAAGCCAAACCCTGTGCCGCCTCTGCTTGTGCAGATCCTAGAACCAGAGAAGAAGCGGGGCAAGTTGTCCTGTTTCTCTTCTCCCAACCTGACAAACATTCCTACCAGGGGTGACTTCTGTTCTGACTCATAAAGATATTTCTGAATAATAGCACTGGTCACTTTATCTCTGGAATGTATCCGGCTTTTAAAAAAACAAAAAACCAAAAAACTGGTGGCAGGGAAGTACCCTCTTCCTGCCCGCCCCCTCCCCCACCCCCACCAGGGCACTGATTCCACTCAGTCTCCTAGGGGCCTCGTGGGGGTGGCCAGAAAGGCCTCATTTGCATATGCTTTCTCACAAGTCTTGCCTACACTTCAATGTAACTCTAAATGTGTTCTAAGGAAATAAAAAGGTTTTGTTGTCATTGTTTGCTTCTTGTTTTTTATTAAATTGAGGGTAACATACATAAAGTAAAATGAAGAAAATGCTGTAATCCTAAGGGCAGAGCCTGTGGATGAACTTTAACATACCCACAGATGTGTAATACCCCACTCAGATAGAGATTGTTGTTTTAAAACTATGATTATGATTGCCTCTAGAGTGATATTTCTTGTCTTCATTTCTTCTCCATTGGCATATAGCCCATTCATGAAATGGGAATCATGTTGGGTGAAGGCTTATGTGTCACATCTGAGAAGACTTTAGCTGGGAGGGTTGCTCTTGGAATTTCAAGGAGGTTGTGTAAAGCCACAGGAGAGAAAGTCATACTTGCTTCTTCCCCAGGTGTGGATCCCTGTTCATCAGTGGGTATAGCCTTTTCTCTGCTCCACACCTGAGAGATACAATACATGCCTCAGTGGCTCGTGTATCATTGTGAGTGGCTTCGTGTATCAGTAAAGAGGGGAGATGTGGTTTGAAAAAGCTGTTCAGGCTATTCCATTGTTCACTTCCACAGTAGGTGAGGTGTAAGGCTCACTGATTTACCTTATTTCCTTCATTCTGAAACACGATCCCTCGTTAGATCCCTCATGTGCTTAATGGGATCTATACTGGTTATTCCCCATTTGCTGAGTGCCCCACTAGATGCGCTCTCTACCCTTCTTTGCCATTCTCTGTGCCCTGGGAGGCCAACCTTAGTGGACTACATTGATCAGCAGCCCCCTGCCATTTGGCCAGAGAAGGAGGTAGGAGGTGGGAGAGATGGTCTGGTATTTCTTGACCCCAACTCCTCCCTCCCTTTCAGCAGGCTATCTCTGGCAGTGGCTCCTTCCCTCTACCTGCTGGATGGCCCCTCTTTCATGGTCCCAAGCTCACTAGGCTCCAATAACATGATTGCCTCCTCTTTTCAACCCTAGGGATGGTCATCATTTCCTGCTGTTACTAGGCTCTAGGTGCCTCAAGTTCCCTCTTAACTCTGCCCATACCTCTATAAGGAATTTCTCCATTAAAGCATCATCCTTTGAACCATCTGGGTTAAAGTCTGTTTCCTGATGGACCCATGACTGATTCACAGGTCTTTGGACAAAAACGGCAACACTTGCATATTCAATAGTCATCGATTATAAGATACATCTGGCTTTCAGAAATGTTACAATATCATCAAAAAGTATGGCTTACTATAAAGAAATGATGGCAGGTTCATTCAGGCATGATGGATATAGAGGACAGTGTATCATTAAGAGATGTAAGTTGGGCACAGTGGCTCATGCCTGTAAACCCAGCAATTTGGGAGGCCAAGGCGGGCTGATCACTTGAGGCCAGGAGTTTGAGACCAGCCTGGCCAACACGGTGAAACTCCATCTCTACAAAAAACACAAAAATTAGCCGGGTGCAGTGACGTGTGCCTGTAATCCCAGCTACTTGGGAGGCTAAGGCAGGAGAATCACTTGAACTTGGGAGGCAGAGGTTGCAGTGGGCCGAGATCACGACACTGCACTCCAGCCTGGGAGACAGAGGAAGACACTGTCTCCAAAAAAAAAAAAAAAAAAAAAAAAAAAAAAAAAAAAAAAAAGATGGAGTTTGCTCCTAAACTTACAAGGTTGGAAGCATGGCAAACAGCAAAGCGCTGGGTTTAAAGTCAGGTGAGATGGCTTTGAACTCAGGCTCTGACACTTACAGCTGGAAAATTTTGAGTAGGCTGCTGTGACACTCTGCACCTCGGCCTCCTTTCTGGCAATCCAGAGTCACTCTGCTGTCTATATCCCTTTCAGAGATGTCATGTGTAAGGACAAATGAGGCGATGTGTGTGAAAGGGCTTCATGTATCCGGTGCTGAGATGTGTGGGCCAGCACAGCTCTGAGGGGGCAGCTATTCTGGGATTCCTCATCTCTCAGGGGCCAAACACTGGCCAGGATGGACAAACAAGGAGACCGGCAAAAGTAAGGCAAGAGAGGTCTCAGAGACCCAGAGAGGCAATGAGAAGACAGCTCACCTACCCTTTTCTTCCCAGCTCATCTACCCTTTTCTTCCCACCCCAGCTTCCCTCTTCCCCTTCCCTTCCCTCACTTGACATGGCCTCTTCTCTAAGCTGAGGGATGCCGCTGAGGCTATTTGTTCAGTGGAGAATTAAGGCGCACCTCTAAGTGTAGGATAAAGTCATGCACCAGATAAAGACCATGCCTTTCAAGACCAGTAAGAGAGAGACAAAGACATTCCAACAGGAGGCAGGTCATGCCATGTCCTGGGGAAAAAGAAGAGCCTGGTGTCGGAGAATCTCAGCTGCACTCCTAACAGATCACTAACTCACTAACCAGTTCCCCTGGACAAGTTATTCAATCTCACTGTCTTCTTCTGCAACCAGGGAATAATACCCACCTCCAGCGTTTGCTGTGAGAATTTCACAGAACAAGCCCTGTATTCAGCATGGTGCCTGGCTCTGATTTTAGCACTCAATAAAGGGTCACCTCTATTTTTAGCATTCCAGGGAGCCAGAGGACCCTTTCTAACTGGATGATTCTGGAATGATTTCCCAAGGAGAGGGCACTTGGAGACTGAATTCTCTGTATGGCAGGCACAGTTCGCTGAGGCACTCGCTCAACCGGGGGAGGTCAGTCCCGCAGCAGCACCAGGGCACAGCGCTGTGTGTCCGGCGCTGGGGGGACTGAAAGGGGGTGAGCGGGCTGCGGAACGCAAGCCTCCCGGCGGGCAGAGGGAGCCAGCACGAGTTCTGGAGTAGGAGAGGGCCGGGATCAAAGCGCTCTGAGGCAGGCCAGGGCGCACCAAAGGGAGGCTAGTGAATTGCATCAGCACAGATTCCGTGATGCTCTGCAGACGTCTCCAGGCTGCTGGGCTTTACGGGAACCCACAAGAAAGGAAAGGACCGGGGAGCTGGCAGGGCGAGGGCGGGCGAGGGCGCGAGGGTGCGCTCGCCCGCGCGCTCCCGGCGGCGCCTGGCCGGGGCTGGGCGCGCCCGGGACTGCGGAGGCCGCGGAGGAAGCTCCCGCTCCCCTTCCCCCGCCTCTTTCCCCCCGCGTTACTGGAAGGACTGTGTGGGAGAGACCCAGAAGCACCCGGATTTTCGACCGCCAGGTGGGGGAGGGCGGGGCAGCCTCTACTGCTCAAAGGAAAACCAAAAGTGCGTCTGTTCGCGCCGCTCCGACACGCGGTTGCTACTGGGAGGGCTCAGGCAGGGCGCTTTGGCCGCGCCTCCCTTTGCAGCCCCCAAGACTTGGCTAGGGCGGCCTGAGGCCCGCGTGGCGCGGGGAGGGGCTGAGAACCGAGTGGGAAAATGTCACGATTTCTTCTGTGCCCCTCCCGTCCCTACCCCCACCCCCAGTTTTCTGAGTTTTGCTGCTGCCGCTGGGGAAGGACTGATTCGTTTTGCGTCAAAGGACTGCATTTACTCAGTCCTGCTGGGAGAGGCGCGTAAACACCCAGGCAAGCCAGGACGCAGGGATGGGGAGGGGGAAGAAAAAAGCAAAGCACCCACGGCCGGCGCGCGCGTCCGCCTGCCCCACACCCCTCTCCTGGGCCTGCGGAGTTGGGGACTCTGTCCAGCGGGCAGCAGCGGAGGTGCGAGGAGTCTGGCTGGCCTCGCCTCGTCGCGCACGCGCGCGCGTCCTTGGGGATAGCGTTCAGGACAGAATGTGTTTTATAGCTGTAAACAATGACCCCGAGTATTGTTTGGGATTACCGTATCTTGGGGCCCTTGGGGCGGCCAGATGCCGCCAGCCGTCCCGGAAATGCCAGCGCTTTATATAGAGCCCCAGGAAAGCTTCGCGTTCCCGGCTCTATTTTTCTCTGCTACCAACACCCCCACTTTGCAGATAAGGAAACTGAGGACAGAAGTTGTGTGACGGTGCACAGCGAGTTGTCAGCAATGGACTCTCAACACCTCTTAACATTGGGTCCTCATAAGGACCCTGTGGGGTACAGATGGCTGGCGCTACTTAAGAATTGGGTAAACTGAGGCTAACACAGACCCTGGACCAAAACCTAAGTTCCCTGACTTCCGCTACAGTACTTCTCCATTCACACACACCATCATCTCAGCGGAAGGATTGGAGCTCCAGAGCAGAGAAGGGCCTAAGGTCATGTCTCCAAACTCCTTCACTTTATAGGAGGAAACTGAGGCCCAGAGAGGTTAAGGAATTCGTCCAAGATCTCACAGCTCGTAAATAGCGTAGCCGGGCGTTCCTGCTCTAAGGTCTGTGCTCTGTACCCTGCGCCGCGCCCCTCCCAGCCCCGCCCAGCGAGGGAGGAGGACCCAAATGTCCGGCAACCCGCGCCCTGAACTTCGCTCCAAAACAGCTGAAGACGACAACGTTGGGGCACACCCTCTCGCTGGCTTTTTTTTTTTTTTTTTAATTCGTAACAGTCTGGAGTTTGCTTATAAACGCCCGATTACTCTTATTAGATGCGTCCTAATTGCCCGGCGTATAGGGCGGCCGGAATGTCTTGACTGGTTAATTTCATCTTCAAGGCTACTCCTAACGAATTAACTGTAGGACCGAAAACATGAAAAACAAAAAACAAAAAGGGAACCGGTAGGCAGACCGCCACGGAGGGAAAAATAGGCAGGCCAGCCCCGCCCGGCGCCGTGCCCCGCCAACACCCGGCCGCAGGGCGGCGCGGGCACCCTGCGCGCCCGGGGCGCCCGCTGCACTCGGCGGCGCCGCGGAGGGCGCCTACGACCGCGCGCAGCCGCGCCCTCCCTGCGAGCGGCTCTGCGCGCCCGGCTCCCGGCCTCCCGGTGGCGCCGCACCGAACCGCCCGTCTCGCCGTCAGGGCTGTGATTATTTTCTAAAATCCGGAGGCGAGACCCGCGCGGCCGCTCTCGGGGCCCCGCCCCGAGCCCCTTCCCAGGGCGGGGGAGAGGCCGCAGCGCACTCGGGAGCGGGCGAGGGAATCCCTCTCCCTCCACGTCACCCGAAAGCGAGGAAACCCGCACTCGCGTCCTCTAACGCAAATGACCATCTTTGGCAACGTGCGCCAATGGAACAGACCAAGGGCGCTGGGCCCGGGGGGTGAGCGGGGGACTGGGGAGGGCCGGGGCTGCCTCGGCGCCTCCGAACCGTGCGTGGCGCCCGCTCCCGCCCGTGCCACCGCCTGGCTTCCTCGCGCGGGGTGCGCGGTTGGCGTCAGCGCGGCCGGGAGCCGGGGCTGGGAGGGGAGAGCTGCGCCCGCCTCCTCCCCTCCCGCGCCTCTTCCTCCTCCGCGGCCTCCTCCCCCCGCCTCCTCGTGCGCTCCTCCCTGCAAGGTGGAGTCTGGGGTTGACGTGAGTGAATCCACATGGTACAGGGCTGGAGAATAAAGAGTGTGAGTTGAACTCGTGCCATTGTAGTGACTCATCTCGGGCAGAGCGCTAGGGCTCCGAGCGAACCAGCGAGCGAGCGAACGAGCGGCGCTCGGCGGGGACAGAAAGAGGGAGAGAGAGAGAGAGAGAGAGGGAGAGGCGCGGCCGGGCGAGGCGGGCCCGTCCGGGAGCGGGCTCCGGGGAAGGGGTGCGGGTCTGGGCGCCGGAGCGGGGAGCGGGGCCGCGTCCCTCTCAGCGCCAGCTCTACTTGAGCCCCACGAGCCGCTGTCCCCCTGGCGCGCTCGGGGCCGCGGGACGGGCGCACGCCGCCTTCTCCTAGTCAAGTATCCGAGCCGCCCCGAAACTCGGGCGGCGAGTCGGCCACGGGAAGTTTATTCTCCGGCTCCTTTTCTAAAAGGAAGAAACAGAAGTTTCTCCCAGCGGACAGCTTTTCTTTCCGCCTTTTTGGCCCTGTCTGAAATCGGGGGTCCCCAGGGCTGGCAGGCCAGGCTCGCTGGGCTCCTAATCTTTTTTTTAATTTCCAATTTTTGATTGGGCCGTGGGTCCCCGCTGAGCTCCGGCTGCGCGCGGGGGCGGGAGGGCGCGCGCAGGGGAGGGACCGAGAGACGCGCCGACTTTTTAGAGGGAGGGATCGGGTGGACAACTGGTCCCGCGGCGCTCGCAGAGCCGGAAAGAAGTGCTGTAAGGGACGCTCGGGGGACGCTGTTCCTGAGGTGTCGCCGCCTCCCTGTCCTCGCCCTCCGCGGTGGGGGAGAAACCCAGGAGCGAAGCCCAGAGCCCGCGGCGCGGCCGGCGGACGAACGAGCGCGCAGCAGCCGGTGCGCGGCCGCGGCGAGGGCGGGGGAAGAAAAACACCCTGTTTCCTCTCCGGCCCCCACCGCGGATCATGTACCAGGATTATCCCGGGAACTTTGACACCTCGTCCCGGGGCAGCAGCGGCTCTCCTGCGCACGCCGAGTCCTACTCCAGCGGCGGCGGCGGCCAGCAGGTAGGTGCGGGCCCCGGTGCACCTGGCGGCGCGGGCGGACCCCTGCCCTCTTCTCGCCGCCACTGCCTCTTTTGCTTTCTTTTCTTTTTCTTGGCGAGAAAATACCTACGGGCCACCGTTGTAAGTTCTGGATTTTCGTCCTCCCCTTCCCCCCCACCCCCTTTTAAACTAGGGGATTGGAGAGTGGGCTTGAAGAGACAACATGCCCTTTTCCTCTCACGTTATATTTTACCCAGATAGACTCCTGGAATTGTAGGCCCCCTACCAGGAGCCTGTTACCTCCTTCCAAGAACTACTCCCCCTCCCCAGTGTCTGCCCCCCCCCCCCCACCCCTGCCCCGCGTCTTCTCTCTGGGTGGTGGACAGACAAGAAAATCTTTGCACCCACTGGCACCTCTCGACATCCTGGGACCCTATTCCTTCAGGAAAGCCCTCTCTCTCTCCTCCCCGTTCTCCATCAGTCATAACTCCTTTCTGAAAGGGGTTGGGGACCCAGAAACATGGTTGGACTCCTTCAAGTAATCTGGAGCGAGGGCGAGGGCTGCCGCTCTGGGAATCAGGTGCGAAGGTCAGGAAGGAAGAAGCCAGCCTTGGTTGGCTCATGCCGCCTGTGTGCCCCCTGCCTGCCTGCCTGCCCCCCCGCCGACCCGTCTTCTGTAAGGATCACGGACAGGAGGCTGCACTGCCCCCCAGGAACGAAGGAGCACCTTGAGGGTCTGGGGGTACCTGGAGCAAGGAGACCGGCAGAGGGAAGAGGGGGTCGGGTGGGGGAAGAGACATCACGCAGGCTCCTGGGTGGTTCTGGAAGCAGAAAACAACTTGTTTCTAAAGCAGCCGGACTGGTTTGCACTGGAGGGATTGTGCGTGTGATCTCTGTGTTTATAAATACCAGGAAGGTGCTGTTGGCGGGGGGGTGCTGATGGCGTGTCTGCCCTCTGCTGCAGCTCCCCCACCCGCTCTGTCTCGAGAGAGAGCTGGGTTAACGCAGGCCCAATACAACATGAAGCCCACCGTGGTCAGCATCTGTGGAGTCTAGCATAGTTGGCTGCAGCAAGGGATGCTCATGCTCCATAAGGCGGTGGCCTTGGCCTCTAGAAGGGGCTAGGGTGGGCTTCCAGGGAGGGGTGGACTCAGCTGGAAAGAATTTTGGAACGTGGCTCTCTTTTGGATCTGATGGGGGGGTCCCTTGTTCCAAAGTGATTCCCTATACCTGGTGAGTCCCCAAAATGGCTTTTCTGTCTTCCCTCTGCCTCCCATGGTGCTCCTATAAGCACCCACAGTAGAGACAGCCTAGTCTGTTCATTGAGGGTGCAGTCAATGCACCCTTCGTAATGAGCACCAAGGTGATGAGTTTAAAATCCGAAAAGTTGTTGATTATGTTTGCTTCCCAGCCCCGCTAGTGGTTTGTGTTGAATGTAAACATAATGAGGGAATAGGTTGAAGTCTGTACCCACTCCCTCCGTCTCCCGTTCGACAAACCCCAAACGCCTGTCTGTCTCCTCCTCCCTGAAATCAGGAAGGGATCTTTTGATTTCTTCTCTGTTCTTTTCCCTAATGTGTCTTTAGCAGTGATCATTGGAGTATTACAATCTCACTGCCTGGTTTAGCATAGACCCTGGGGCCTGGAGGGAAGTCAGACCGGACATCAGTGCCCCAACTGAATAATCTGTGTCACTAGGGCTTTGAGCCCAGGATGTGAGCGGAGGCAATTCCCGGTTTTGGAAGAAAATCAGACAGGAAACCAGTGCTAGGAAGAAGGAAGAGAACTCAGTCCAGCAGAGTGTAATAGGGCCTCATTACCGAAGCAAAAAGCAGCTGTTGGCTAATTCCTAGCATGCTGTAACACATGAGTATTTTGCAATTAGCAATAACCAGTGCACGGGGTTTCGCATAGACGCCTGCCCATTCGGCCCGGCAGTGTGTGAGGCGCCTTTCAAACCGGAGGGATTGGCAAGGTAATGCCACTTGAGACAAGTTTCTTGGCCTGTCCGCTCCTTGGTGTGGTGGTGGTTGGGTGGGGGACGAGGAGGAACTGGTGGATTTTTCTGTCATTGCTCCAAGTGTGAACAAAATTGTTCTGTGGTCCTAAGGACTGACCTCAGAGGCTTTTGTTCCTTCACAAGTCTATGCTATGACCTTGCCCGATCTTGGGCTCAAGGTAACTTTACTACATACCAGATAAAACCTGTAATCACTTTATTTCTCTCCGCTTCCTGTACTGGAAGACTTTCCTGGCAATTAGTGGATGGGCCTTTCTCTTTTATGGCATCTCAGTGGACCGATCCATATGAGACAGTTCTCTGGTTTTTCTCTGGGGAAGTGAATTTTATTTTTTTCAGCTCTCTCTTTTGGGGGTCCAATATTCCTGATTAGTTTGTTGCCAGTTCTTCAACCCAGAGCTTTCCCGTCCTCTCTAGCTTCATGAAGCTGGATCTTAATACATGGCCATGAGCTCCAGTGACTTTGGGGGTGGGGGGAGCAGACTAGTCTTTGTTACAGCCTCTGTTCTTATATATGGCAGGAACTTGAGGCATGAAAAATATTTCCTGTTCCAGTTATAGTTTTAATCTCAAAGGTTGGTCATTGGTGATTTTGTTTTGTCAGTAACCGTTGCACACACCTCCCCTTCTTGGATTTTTCTTTTTGCTGTTGTTTTTTCTCTCCTAACTTTCCTAGGAAAACATCTCCCAGATATATGCCCTGCCTGGCTGCTTGACTATTACGGTTTCAGGGCCTGAGCATTACGCAATCCAGCCAGTTACACAAACATAGGTCATTTCATAACTTGTTTTCATCAGCTGGGCCCCCTTTTAATGAAAAAACAAAACAAAAACAAGACCTAGAACTTTTCCAAGGCTGCTATTTGTTTCTCAGATAACTTGTGAAAATAAATCAAGGGCAGTATTTCCTTTTTGGAGTTAAGGAATACCAGACTAGCACTCTTCTTCCTCAACCACCCCTTCCCAAGACACACACACACACACACACACACACACACACACACACACACACACACAAAATTCCCCAGAGTGAACTTTTGCCAACTGTACCAGACTGGGACATTCCTCACATCAAAGAACTTTTACCAGAAATGACTGTGATTCCCAAGCTAGCCTCAATCATACCTCTCTAGTGCCCTCTACGGGAAATTTTTAGGAAAACTATCTTGGGAATGTATTTTTCCAGTCCCAGAGAGTGTTAAATTGGTGAGTTTGGAATTCTTAGGATGCTTTTTCTTTTTAATGAGGGACAAATAAATGCCACATATTTAACCGTGGTTAACTAGGAACTGCTTGACTTTGAGTTTCTTTTTTGTTTTCTTCTAAATAAAACCTGGTTAAAAAAGGAGTGCTTTTTCGTTGTGCACAAGTACCCTAGAACTTAAAGTATAATAAAAAATAAAAATAAAAAAAGGAGTGCTTTTTTCTTTTCCTATTTTGATGTCTGTCTATTCATTAGGTTGCCTTCACAGTTTGTTCAAATTCCCAAGGCATGTTTTCCTATGTGCTTATATTAGGAGGGGGCTTGTTCAGTTGGTGGGAATGTGGGAGGCATAGATTAAGGGTCTGGGTGCTTTTTTTTTTCCCCTTGATGTTACAGATGTTGTAGATTAGGATCAAACAAAATGTTATCCCAAGAATTTGTCTGTTCCGCTGATTCTTGATGGTGGAAGTCAGCTTCACTTTTTCATCAAAGGGAATGGGGTGAAATAGCAGTCATGTATTGTCTGAAAGGCATTTGAATTTTCCTATCCAAAACGCTGAGTGCATTTCCACTACCCATTTCTGCTTCTGCCTGTCTTATTATTCAAGGTGAGGGTAAAATTGGGAGACTTGTTTTTTCTTCTCTATCTTAATACAAACACAGCAGAACTTATTCATCCTTGTCACTGTCATCCCCTTCCTTGTTTTTTCCTTGGGGAGACTAAATGCTTATCTGAATGCTGCGGCTATGCTTAGACTCAGAAAGGTTTTGCAGTACCCCCTCTTTTGCAGTTGCTTTCAGCGTATTCTTTTGAAAATCCTCCCTACTAACAAATCTTTGTCCTTTGAAGGGTGAATTTGATATTTGGAAATTACCAAAAGCCTCTTTGGAGCCGAGTCTGACATACAAGTCTGGATGATCAGGCTGAGGCCAAAGTAGGGTGTGACCCTGTGTCCTGCAGGCCTCTAGAGTCTACCTGGGAGAGCATGCCCACGACAAAGGACACCAAAGCAGGCACCTTTGCCGTCAATAACTTGGATTTTTTTTCTCATTTGTTAGATAGGAATAAAGATACTGGTTGTGAGAATTAAGGAGACGAACGTTCCGGTCTATTTGTTGAAACAAAGAAAAAAATAGCATCATTACTTTGTGGATATGTCTCATCTATGTTGTATGTGGTGTCTTTTGGTGGCCACAGTATTTCAAAATGACAGCAGCTGCCCTGATTGAGGCAAATATATCTGTTCCAAACCCCATCTGGTAATTCTATCCCTTCTCCACTCCCTGGGCCAGAGAGGGAAGGTATAAGATTTCTCCTGGCCCACCTGGTCTCTCGGCCCTGTCCCGTGGCAGTGAGACTTTCCTAGGCTCACCTTCCGGTGGCTTTAATGGAGGATGAGAGGACGTGTCATTCCCATGGAGTACAGAGCCGCCAGGGAGCTGTGGGGGCTCCAAAGGGGCCCACACACTAGTGGAGTGAATTCCCCAGTGCTTTGGAGTGGCGCTTCTGGCCAAAAGGGCCCTGGCAGGGAAGCAGCTGGGGAGCCTGGACGAGGGCTAAGGCCTTCTCTTTCTGTTTCTTTCCTTCCCTGCTTCTCTTCCCCCTGGCAGGCAGCCAGGTGGAGGAGGATAGAGTAAGTCTTTCAAGGGAACCCAGGAAAGCGTGGAGGCTGAAGGGAGGCGAGTCACCTAAGACAGCATTTATAAACTGTAACGCTTTGGGAAATCACAACTTATTAGCAACAGTTTCCATTGTGACATAGTGGTATTTCTTCAGAGAGGAATGAAATGTCAGAGGTCAAAGTGATGTTCAACGCAGAACCTGTGAAGAATGGTTAAATTCCTTATGGAAGGCTTTGGGGAACATCCCAGGTTCAGTAAAAATACAGAGTATTTGCGTTAAACTGGACCTCAGTGGGGATGTGATGGGAGGTATGAGACAGATTGTGCCCTTATCCTTTTCTCTTCTTGGGAGCCAATCTTCTAGGATGTTGGAATTGTCCCTTTTCCATCCTGGGAATCTAAAGAAAGGGTTCTTAAAGGGAAAGAACCCAGTCCCTTCCTAGATACACTCAATCATACCTGCTTGCCTGGCAAGGCAGTTTACAGAGTCCACAGGGCTTCATGGCTTGAATGCTTGATAACCCAGACAAAAATCTATCTGATGGAGAATCGCCTGGCCAAGGGGCTGGGCCAAGAACCCCAACCCTGACTTCCATCTCACATACCAGTTCTGCCCACTCACGAGTCTCTGGGATAAGCCCTCGGCCCCATCCGGTCCTGTAGGGGCCCAAACCCTAGTTCCAATACCTGTCAGCAAAAAGCCATGGGTTCATAGCTGAAGCCAAGGCTCCAGTATAGAGTCTCAGGAGGCAGTTTTCCCAAATCAGCAACTGTTGTGGGGGGAACTTCTCTGACCTGCTGAGGTTTGGTGGCCCTAGAGGGTCCGTGTTTTCGGCCGTCTTTCTCATTGGCAGTGGAAGGAGCACACGCATCCTTCCCAAGCAGCCCGGTGGCACCCTAGCAACAGGGTACAGCAGGGTGATGGGAGTTTCCATGCCCAAAGACCACAAGGCTTGTAAGGGTTTGAACGTCGGCTCAGGGTCTGGAGGTTCAAGCTGATAAGTGAGAGCCCGTCTCCTCGGCTACCTGGGTTGGAGGAACATCTCAGTTCTGACTTTTTGCTTTCTTATTTCCTCTGTATTCGTTTCCCTCCAACCTGAGCATGGGAGATGAGAATGAACCTCTGGGACAGGGGTTGGCAAACTATGTCCTGAGTATTTTTCTAAATAAAATACAGTGGCACAGTCCTGCCTATTTGTTTACATGTTATCTAGGGCTGCTTTCGCACTGCAGTGGCAGAATTGAGGTGCAGCCAAGACCGTATAGCCCACCAAGCCTAAAATATTTGCTGTCTGACCCTTCACAGCAAAAGTTTGCTAAACTCTGCTCTAGGAGGTGGATGGGGACCACTATATCCTTTTATAGGCATTCTTGCCCACCCCGCAGTTGACAGGGTGACACAGTGAAATATTTGGAGGCTTTGCCAGGCTGGAATGCTACATAGGCATCCAGCATCTTCAAAGTGTCCTTGAGGAGGACATGTTGGCTACAGAGCCCCAGGCAGCCGAGTGAGGTTTTGGGTTACCTCTCCTGATCCCATCACTCCCAGCACACTCCTGGCATGCATGCAGCAGGTTTGAAACTGCCCTGTAGCCCCCAGCTGAGCAGCTCTATCTTGGTTTGTGTTTAGTGTTAACTCGTCCGTAGAGAACCACGATTTATCTCCAGTGTGACATGTGGCTGATTCTCGGGTCTATTGGCATAGAAGAATGCTAGGCTAACTTCTGGGACCACAAACTCCTAACTTCACCTCTTCTCTCCTACCCCAGTGTCTGAATAACACGTTTCTGAATAACACGTTTCTGAATAACATGCTGGGAGTTGAGACAAGACCCATCTGCCAGATCTAATTGAAACTTTTGTGTGTCTCCAAGAGAAGCTCCTCTTGGAGACAAAAGCCTTCTTTATCAGAGCCCCGGGCCCCTCTGGGGATGGGACATTGTTTTCCTTGCAGTTTAGAGCCAGTGTATTATCCAGATGGCTTTGCCTCCTGTCTGAAACAAGGTGTACATGCGTTTCAGAGGCAGTCATTACCTCCTGGCTGGTTTTTATTGCTGTCTTGTTTTGTCTAGACCAAGCCATTGCTGCGAGGAATCTGGCTGATGTATACCGGGGAGCACACACCACGGACCTGCCCTCCAGAGCGGGTGGACTAGAGGGCCTCAGAGGGGCTAATAGGCATCCACTTATTCTGAAGGGGTCTTTGTCCCTCAGCTTTGCTTCAGATTTTCTGCTGGGTTCCCCAAGCCTAAAACGGGAGCACTTTTATTTGTTGGAATGAGGAGTGACTTTCTTAGGTGCTTTCCTAAAAGGAAAGCTGACAGCTTCCCCATGGAGGAGGGAGTCATATCAAACCATTGTGCTGAATGCCTCAGGTGCATTTCAAACCCAGAACCTGGCTTGGGGAGAGAAATGGAATTTAAAAGTTGGGTGCTTCCCAGGAGTGGGTAGCTGGCACTTCTCCCCAGAGCCTCCTGGGCAGAGTACACAGGCACATCTAATGATGATGGTGGTGGTGATGGTGACCTTCCATTGGTTTGGAGCAATGTTTCTCAACCCTGGCTGCACAACAGACTCTCCTTGGGGGTTTAAAAAAAAAAAAAAAGCTTATCAGAGCCCTGCCCCAAACCAATTATTTTAGAGGTCTAATGGCGAGGCTCTGACATTAGTGTGTTTTTTACAAGCTCCTTGGAATATTCTAATGTGTAGCCAGGGTTGAGAACCACTGGCGTGCTTTTATAGCCTGTGATTACAAGTAGCTACTCATTTAATCCTCATGGCAGTGCAGTGAGTTTGATGAGTATTCCCCTTTACATCCATGGAATTGAGTCCTTGAGCCCAGGGCAAGGCACTCAGTGGCTAAGCCAGGCCTCAACCCCATGCCTCCTGACCCCGAGTGCAGTGTTGACTCCCCGCCCCTCCCATCCAGCAGCTCAGGAAAAAAATAGCTGTCTGGGACTTGGTGCTTCTACACACACTCAGCCATGCCTGCTGTTCTCACGACTCTGCCTACTCACAGCCCAGCCCCAATTGGCCATTTTTCCTCCTTGAAGATCATTTCCCACTTGGATGCTTTCCTGTTCACTGCACTCTTCCCTCCTTCATATGCACACACCTGCTGCTTTTCAGTCAGCGCCTGATAAAAAGCCCACTTTTCTTTGCCTTCAGAAATGCAACTCAGAATCTATCACCCTGGGCAGCTCTCTTCACGGGATCCCAGAATCCATTGTACTGGGTAACTTTCCTCCAGTATCCCAGAACCCATTGCTCTAGGCAGCTCTCCTCCTGAATCTCAGAATGATGCATTGCACCGGATAACTTTTCTCCAGAATGCCAGAAACCATTGTTCTGTGCAACTCTCCTCTTGAATCTCAGAATGCATTGTACTGGGTAACTTTCCTCCAGAATCCCAGAACCCATTGCTCTGTGCAGCTCTCCTCCCGAATCCCAGAATGCATTGTGCTGGGTAACTTTCCTCCAGAATCCCAGAACCCATTGCTCTAGGTGGCTCTCCTCCCGAATCCCAGAATGCATTGCAATGGGTAACTTTCCTCCAGAATCCTAGAACCAATTGCTTTAGGCAGCTCTCCTCCCAAACCCCAGAATCCATTGCACTGGGTAACTTTCCTCCAGAATCCCAGAATCCATTGTGCTGGGCAGCTCTCTTCACTGAAGCCCTTGGCCTGGGCCCCCGAGGTGGTCTGGTTGATGAGGCAGCCGTTCCAACATGCAGACTAGGGTCAGGCAGATAGCAGGGAATTGAGCAAGAAGGGGTCCCCAGCTCTGTCAGCTGTAGTGAGGTACTCTATGTGTTATTTACACAGCAGGAACCCTGATGTTGTGACAAGGCAAAGACAATGGTGGTGCCAGCTTCCATTGCTGCGAATGCTTCTATCCTAGTTGGTCTGATTGGACCAGCATAGGGAGGGTTCTACAGCATCCATGCTAATGATAGTGGGGTTCCATTCGGGGCCAGACAGACCTGTGGTACCTTCTTTGTGAGAGGGGAGGTCTATAGGGGATGACCTGACACTCTGTCTGAGGGCAGTGGGGGTGGATAACCAGCACTTAGGGCTGGATTTTGAGGAAGAAAGCAATGGAAAAGGAGCTTGTATACCACTGTGTTCAGGGGCTCTGGCCTCTTTGTCAGGCTGGACTGGGTTTGAATCCTGACCCCGCTGCTTATTAGCAATGTGGCCTTGAATAAGTTACTTAATCTCACTAAGCCTAAATTTCTGTCCCTAAAATGGAGCTAATGGTCGTTCTTCACTCAGAGAGAGAATTAGTGAGATAATCTAGGTAAGCCATGGTGTCTGACATTTAGTAAGTGCCCAGGAAGTGTTGTTAGCTATTGTCTTCATCTCACCCAGTTTTTAAGTGGGGAAGAAACTACTTGGAGAAGCTTTATGTGGACACAGGAGTCATCTGAAGATGAAGGTTCACCTGGGTTCCATTAGGGGGACTTGCCTCTGAAAAGCTGGAAGTAGGGGGCTCTTCTCTCCTTCCCGCTTCTTGCAGTTTCCAGTAGCTGCCTTGGAGAAAGGTCAGGACCAGCTGCTAAGGAGCACAGCCCATTTTAGTTTCTATACTCTGTCATCATCTTATATTTTAAATAGAATGCTTCCTGCAGCATGTTCCAGAGAGCTCTGCAACGTGGTCTGGGCATAAATTAAGAAGCGGGGAGAAAACTGCACTAGCAGCACCAGAGTTTCCCACAGAAACATCTGTGAACATAGATCAATGCCTATGTAGCTGGGTAGAGAGACACACTCAGCCAGTCTGCCCCAAGCAAGATGCTGATGATGGGAAGGGAGGAGGGACAAGGACAGCAAGGGATGTCTGGCTGCAAATGCCGCTACTTGTTAGTCTCCTGGGTTAGAGGACATCTTTTCACGGACCTGGCTGTGCCCTGATGGAGTCATAGCTCTGTCCTGAACCTCTTTGGAAAGTGACAAAGGCAGACACAGTATGCTCCCTTGGTGATCTTTGTTGGTCCAAGGCTACTGGTGTGCAAATCCCTTCAAGGTGTCCTGAGCTGGTACCCTGAGAAACAGTTGGCAGGCGACTCAGAGGCTTAAAAACCCAGGTGCCACATCCTGCAGATGTGTATCCTGGAGAGCTGCCAAGAGGGCCTGCCGAGTGTGAGTGCTGGGGACCACGTCTATCTTGGAAGTCATTTGGAATAGGACAGTATCCTCACTGAGCCACCTGGGGATGGAGTTCTCAGGACCCCAGTCAGGGAGCAGATCCGACGTGAAGCCCCAGGCATAATTAAGATTCCCCCCTTGATTCTTGGATGCACAGGACTTGTCCAGGCCCACCTGGGGTCCTGACCTTGCCCTTCGAACACTGACTGTGCTCTGTGCTGGTTTTTGCCTCAGCTCTGTTCAATTATTATTAACTATCCTGTTCAGCTTAGTATTTATTGGCTCATTTGTATTTTTTTTCCTCATTTCAGAAATTCCGGGTAGATATGCCTGGCTCAGGCAGTGCATTCATCCCCACCATCAACGCCATCACGACCAGCCAGGACCTGCAGTGGATGGTGCAGCCCACAGTGATCACCTCCATGTCCAACCCATACCCTCGCTCGCACCCCTACAGCCCCCTGCCGGGCCTGGCCTCTGTCCCTGGACACATGGCCCTCCCAAGACCTGGCGTGATCAAGACCATTGGCACCACCGTGGGCCGCAGGAGGAGAGATGAGCAGGTACAGCTCAGACCAGTGGGAAGGAGCCACGTCAGTGGCTTTCAGAGCCCCAGAAACACAGAACGGGTTTCTGCAGACTGGGAGGGTTAATGTTCTGAGAGCAGGGGAGA
The DNA here is from genome assembly GCF_000001405.40 of Homo sapiens. Taxonomy (NCBI): domain Eukaryota; kingdom Metazoa; phylum Chordata; class Mammalia; order Primates; family Hominidae; genus Homo; species Homo sapiens. The sequence goes on from NC_000002.12 coordinate 28,404,469, forward strand.
CAAGGGAGCTAGGGGTCGAAGAGCACGTCATCCCCCTTACTGGAGGCCGAGCTGGAGAGCCAAGACTCAGGCTGGCTCTGTCATCTCGCTTATGTCCCTTAGAATCTCTGAGTCTCACTTTCCTCAGCCACAAAATGGGGATCATGGTCCCTGCAAGCCAGGACTTGGCTACAGATGGGAAGGACCATTACGACCTGCCCACAGCAGGATCCTTCTCTGATCCTTGGCAAAAGGGCCATGGGACAAGCAGCCAATGAACCCTGGCTGTGAGCTTTTTAGGATTATCCCTTAGCCGTCTCCCAGGGTCTAGTGCAGGCCAGGCACCCAGCAGACCTACGGGGTCAAGCTCTGGGTCGGTACTGCCCACGACTTCCCATTCCTCCTCAGTGTTCTAGGCCTCCAACTCGGAGCAGGAGCCTATTTCAAGGGCCTGGAATGCATGTTCCAGAGGTGCAGTAACTCTGGGGCCTTAGGAGTCTGTTCAGTGGCATGGACAGGAGGATGAGGCAGGGGAGGCCAGACATCAGCCCTTTTCTCTTCAAGGGGCTCAGCTTTGAGAAAGAATTAACCTGGCTGGGGAGGGAAGCCAGAAAATGGGGAAGGGGGGGCTCTGCTATTTAGGCAGCACCTACCTAGTACTCAAGAGGCTCATTGCCTGGATCAGCAGTAAGCCAGGGCAGTGCCAAGTTCCCTGGTCTTGGAAAGGGAAATCAGAATCATGCATAATTCCAGAAAGAATGGGATAAAGCCTCAGAGAGCCCCACCTCTCCCCCATGTCAGATGATACAAGCAAGGGCCAGACATACCTGTGTGTGGCCACTCGGCCAGTGAGTGGGGAAGTCTGGGCTAGATCCCAGTTCCCTGGACCCCCTATGCAGTATTCTTTCTCCAGGGCTATGCCACCCTGAGCCCAGGGAAGGGAAAAATACTTTAGCAGTGGAATCCCTTTTTCAAATGAATTGTTATCCTGGGAAACTATTTCAGTGACAGCCTTGGAACCCTTCCTCATTTCAACCACTGTCCATCTTCACTCTGTGATCCCCAGGGCCACAATGTTCCAATATACGGACCTTTCAAACATGGTTCCCAGTGGATCAGGGTAGATCCAGACCCCAGGATACTTGGAATTACAGGGATCACCACACCAAGAAACTGGAAGCTTTCTCAGGAGCTCTGCTCCTGCGAGGACAAAGCTGGGTCTTGTATCCACTACTTGTTGGTTTGTTCTGTTAATGGCAGAACCACGGTGCAGAGCCACTTGGGGAGGTGTGTCTGCTAGACACTATAATGGATTCACAGCTGCATGTTGGGCCTCTGCTGCTGGAGCAAGTGGCCAGTATCCTCCTCACAGTTGCTTTCTATAATTGCAGTTGTAAATATTGCAGTAGCCATGCTTGTAAGGACTTTTATAAATAGGCTTCCTTCACGGAATCCAAGGTGCAAAGCCTTATACTCACTGATGAGCTGGACTCTTCTGGGATATAAGTGATCCTGAGTGAGAGCCAGGCTTGCCAGGTACTCTTTGGGGCTAGCAGGACCACAAAGCCTGAGGATGTGCTGAATGCTCTCCATTCCCTTTTTTTTTTTTTTTTTTTTTTTCTTTTTGAGATGGAGTCCTGCTCTATCACTCAGGCTAGAATGCAGTGGCACGATCTCGGCTCACTACAACCTCCTCCACCTCCGCGGTTCAAGCAATTCTCCTGCCTCAGCCTCCTGAGTAGCTGGGATTACAGGCATGCACCACCATGCCTGGCTAATTTTTTTTGTACTTTTAGTAGAGATGGAATTTTGCCATGTTGGCTAGGCTGGTCTCGAACTCCTGACCTCAGGTGATCCACCCGCCTCAGCTTCTCAAAGTGTTGGGATTACAGGCGTGAGCCACCGCGCCCGGCCACGCTCTCCATTCTCTTCTGGGCCTACCTCACACCAAATTTAGAAATTTGTATCCAGAGGGACTTTGGAGACCATCTTTTCTCATTTTCCCTTTATACCCATTTTACAGACAAGGAAACGGAGACCCAGAAAGGTGAAGGGCCCTGTTAGAGTCTCACAGTGAATTAGTAGCAGAGCCAGCACTGGAACCCACTTCTCCTGACCTTTGGCCCTGTGGTTTTCCCACCACACCACCTAGGCGTGCCTCATACAATCTGTCTGGAGAGTTTCCTTCCTTTTTTGAGAGGGAGGGAGAGAACAAGGAGCATTGTATCCCACATCAGTTGGGAATTCACACATCTCCCAGCAGCTTTAAGGAAGCCTGGGCAGTGGCAGCCTAGAACTTTGGCTGTTCAGGTTGCCAGCCCTCAGGGCTTTGCTCTGAAGCTTACTCCGGCCGTCCCCAGCCTCCCCCAGCCTCCCTGCTAGGGAGGAGCCTGCCTCCGGAGCCGGCCTGGTGCCTCATAGGCCTCCTCTTGGGAGGTTCCCTCTGTGCCCTGTGGCGGCGACTCTGAGGAGGTGGGGAGGGGAGGGTGTGTGTGGCTTGTGGGTGGGTACATGGTGCTGCTGACACACTCAAGCTGGAACCATGTTGATCTCACCGCCCCTGAACACTTCCTATGTTGACAGCTCCCACAAGTTGCCCCACACCTCACCAGTCAGGGGAGAGACTTCTAGGTCAGTCAGGAGGCCAAAAGTTGTCCAGAAGCAGCCAAGGGGGAAGGAGGGCTTGAACTGGGTCAAGGCCAGCCTCCTTCTTTTCTGCCTCTCATTAGCGAGGGATCTAGGGGGCTTCCTGGGCCTTAAGGGGAGCCCTGGTGGCCCTTTCAGTGGTGAGCCCTAAACCCAGGCCTGCAGCAGGGCCATAAGGCTTTCTTGGCAATTCTGCTGGGCTCAAGACAAGACAGGTTTAGGAGCAGGAAGTATTCAGGGCCTTGGCCAAATGGCCTCATGACCTCAGCCGGGCTGTGGACTTCCCTCTGTGTGACAGGCATGGGATTGTCCTCTCTGGTGCTGTGATGATTGTCCTCTCTTTGCTGTTCAAAACATCACAGCAACAGACCTCCAGGGCTAAAGGGAGCATTGTGGGACTCTGACTTGGACCCAACCAGGACAGTGGCTCTTTCCTTCATGGGGTGACCTGAAGTCCAGGCAGTATCCCTCCTTGGGGTAGCTTCTCCCTGCTCCTCCAAAAGTAGCTTTGATTTTGCCCCCAGGTGTCCCGTGAGAGCTGACCCAGGTCTTATTCCCCTTGAGATCTTCTAAGCTCCTAGTGTAGCACCGGGCAGTTAGTAGGTGTGCAGTCAACGTCTGATAACTGAATGGGTGGGCTTTCCCTTTGTGTTGCTTTCTGCTTTGGCCCACAGCCGTCTCCTTGTGTCACCTCTGCCTGAGAGAGGCATTGGGGTCACAGCTCTGCAGGGCTCTGTAGAACCAGAGCATTTGCCCTGCTCAGTAGAGCAGAGTTCATGCTTTCCGGTATGAGTGACAGATTCCTAACTGTCTCACTGGAAGAAGCTAGATCCTAAGCTCTTTGCAGGGGAATCTTCCTTTGTTTGGTTCGCAGATAAATCCCAAGCCCGTAGAACTTCATCTTGCACATGGAACCAGGTGCTCACTTGTTGAGTGGACAGATATGGTGGGCAGCAGGATTTTACCTGCTGGGGGCTCCTCTTCCTTTTGCATGTCCTGTCCAACTTAGCACTGTACCAGGCATGTGGGGGAGTACCTGGGGTTGAACCGTGAGCAGCTGGCACCCTGGGATTGGCAGAGGAAATCGGGAGTGGAGTGGCACTCTTGGCCCTCCCATCAGCAACATAACATTCCCCCCTGGGTGGTTCTTAACCTGTGTGGGGACTCCAGGCCCAGCTACTTAACAAAATGGGGATAATGAGGCTTGCAGAGCAGGCAGAGTGATGGGAGGAGAAATTAGCCAGGGTTTGGAAGAAGCTGCTTAAGTGGGTGGGGCCACGCCTGGCTGGCAGGAGGGGACTCTTGGAGAAGCATCCCCAGCTCCTTCTCTCTGGCCTGAGCACTGAATCAGGGCTGATGTGATAGGTGCTGCCATCATGCCTGGGCCAGTGAATCTCTGACCCATTGCTGTCCTGTTTAAACATGGACTTTAAACTTGGACATCACCTTCCGGGGCAGATTCAGCTCAAAAGAGCCCTCCCAGGCAGCCAGACATCAGGGATCCACATGTTCTGGGGCCTCTGAGTCCAGCCATGCTCCTCTTGCCCTTCCTTCTCCTTTCTCCATTTCCAGAAGGGCTTCTTGCCTTACTTAAAATACAGTTTTTAAAAAATACTGTGAACCATTGTCTCTGTTCTAACCATGATCCTTGGCTTTGGCCTCTAGCTGTCTCCTGAAGAGGAGGAGAAGCGTCGCATCCGGCGGGAGAGGAACAAGCTGGCTGCAGCCAAGTGCCGGAACCGACGCCGGGAGCTGACAGAGAAGCTGCAGGCGGTGAGGAACTCTGCGTAGGGTGGGAGCACCTCTGGGTGGGCTGGAGTGAGAGCCCCGGGGGTCCTGATCCTCTCTCCCACAGCTGTCTCCTTACCCACAAATGCCCTACAGATGAGTCAGTGGAGATAGAGCTTTCCTTCCTTTGGACACATGGGTCAGCATTGTGTTGATTGAAAAGAGAGAGAGAGAGGGAGGTGGCGTTTAGCACCAGCCAGGGCCCAGAGGGAAGAAATGAACAACCTTCTGTGGGGGTGCTAGCCACGGTTTTTACGCAGCACCTGAGTGTTCTCTGCTCACAGAACTGTGGGGGCTCCTGGGTGAGGGATGATGGAGGGTGGGAGCCAGGGCAGGTCCAGACCTGCCCCATCCAGGGCTGCTTCCCGAGGTTCCAGCCACTCCCATGCCTGCCGCCATCAGGAGTGGCCCAGCCTGGCCTAAGCACTCTGGGTTGGGCCAGGGAGAAGTCTTGATGGAGATAGGTCACGTGGCAGCAGGGTTGTATTTTCTTGGGGTTTTCTCATTTCCTTTATGGGCAGGCGGGTTCCCCACCTCTATCATGAACTCAGAGCTGTGGCCATGGTACCGCGTGCTGCTCTTGTGAGTCACTCTCCCGTGCCGCCTAATTGCCCAGACCTGGGGACCCGCAGCCCTGCCCTTCCCTCTGTTAAGCTTGACCTGACCAACGTCACGTAACTCCCTTCAGAGCCTGGCCCTGCAGGAAGGGCCGTGTGCTGTGTGGAGGAAGCCCCGAGCCAGGGTTGACTCTCCCCAGTGGAATGCTTTCAGAGTGAGGAGATGAGAGAGACTCTGTCAGTGGTCCTCACAGTGACTGCCCAGGATGGGGCTTTGGAAAACATCCCCTCACACTTTTTTTGTTATTATAATTTTTTTGAGATGGAGTTTCGCTCTTGTCGCCCAGGCTGGAGTGCAGTGGGACGATCTCAGCTCACTGCAACCTCTGCCTCTTGGGTTCAAGCCATTCTCCTGCCTCAGCCTCCCAACTAGCGGGGATTACAGGTGCCTGCCACCATGCCCGGCTAATTTTTGTATTTTTAATAGAGACAGGGTTTCACCATGTTGGCTAGGCTGGTCTCGAACTCCTGACCTCGGGTGATCTGCCTGCCTTGGCCTCTCAGAGTGCTGGGATTACAGGCGTGAGCCACCACGCCTGGCCCATCCCCTCACTTGAGTTAATGTTTCCAGGTACCATCCACCCACTTAGGCTTGTCTTTCTCTGTCCTGCAGCCCTCACTCTGGGGTGTTGAATGAATTGAATTGCGTGAATTCTGTGATGCCTGTAGTAATGGCCCTCGGAGGTGTTAGAGCCGGGGAGGATGAGTGGGAATTCTTCATTCCCAGGTGAGGCAGATCCACAATCCACTTCCTCAGCGGGCCCTCCCACCACTAACCTTTCTGTGATTGGCACTTCAAGGAGCTGTGCCCCATGTGGCGCTCCTCACCACCCGCCCCGGAATAGCCCTGCCCCCTGAGGCTCCTCTACTTTCCTTCCCTCCTCCCAGAGGCCTCACACCCTACTCCCCTGCCTCCCCCACCTCCCCCGCCCTCTGACCCAGCCACCCAGGCCCCTGAGCCACATCCTCCACAGGAAGCCTCTCAGAAGCTCATGACGTTCGTCAGACCCTTGAGACAGACGGAAACTGTTTTTCACTCCGGAATATGCTGTCCTCTGCTGAACGAAGCCCTTGCCCGTATGTCCTCACTGATGAACAGGAATCCATGTTAGGGAAAACGTGGGGAGGAGGCTGGTGACACACACCTCTTCCCCTCCCACAGCGGCCCCTCCACGTGCACTTGCTCGCTTCTGCTTCTCTGGCTGGGGATGAAAGAAGGGGGCTGAGGTCCTTGCGGGGTGACCCTGGCATCCTCACAGGCCCTCTCGGGCTGTCACGTTACTTCTGTGTCAAGCGTGGTGGCTGAACCAAATGTTCTCTGAGGGTTCTGGGAGTCCTGAAATATGTGCTTAAGAAATTGGAGCAAAAGGCCAGGCGCCGTGGCTCATGCCTGTAATCCCAGCACTTTGGGAGGCTGAGGCGGGTGGATCACCTGAGGTCAGAAGTTCAAGACCAGCCTGGTCGATGTGGTGAAACCCCATCTCTATGAAAAATACAAAATTAGCCGGGTGTGGTGGCAGGTGCCTGTAGTCTCAGCTACTCGGGAGGCTGAGACTGGAGAATAGCTTGAACCCGGGAGGCAGAGGCTGCAGTGAGCCAAGGTCATGCCACTGCACTCCAGCCTGGGTAAGACAGAGTGAGACTCTGTCTCAAAAAAAAAAAAAAGAAAGAAATTGGAGTGAAAAAAGGGAGGAGGAGAGGCTGTGATAATCCCACAGGGATTTGCTGAGCACTTCTGAGAAGCCAGGCACTGTTCTAGGTGCTAGGGATACAGGAGTGTGCATGACAAAGTCTCCACTCTCTAGCAGCCTAGGGCTTAGCGTTTATCCATCCACAGGTGGGCTGGCATGGGGTTGGGGAGTAAGAGAAGGAGAGAGGTGGGTAGAGCTGTGTTCCGTACCCCCTTCTCCATGCAGATCTCTGCAGTACTCACCCCTCAGGGGTACCGAGGGGGCAGTCCTGGCACCAAGGCCATAGAACATAGACCCTGGAGTCAGATACATTGGGAATCAAATCTGGGCTACCCCACCTGCTAGCTCGGTGACTTTGGAAAATTAACAGAACCCCTCTGAACCTCAGTTTCCTCATCTGCAAAATGGGGCGATGATAACATCTGCTTCCAAAAAACTCCTGGAAGATTGAATGAGATCATCTCTGAAATGCTTAACACTGTGCCCTGCACAAAGTAGGTGCTGGGTTATGGCAGCTGCAGTTGTTGTCTTACCCCCTCTCCAAGCTGACTTTCCTTCTTTGGAAATGAAAGGAATCTTGAGCCTCCAGGTGACTGAGAGACTCAGACCAGCGGGGTCTGTGGTTAGGTGTGTGAGCCTCTGCTCTCACAGTGTCTGAGAACATTACTGGTTTTCTCTTTCCTGCCTAGATTGGTCCCTGGCAGGTTGCTGTCCCTCACATCCCTCTCTTTCCGTGGCAGGAGACAGAGGAGCTGGAGGAGGAGAAGTCAGGCCTGCAGAAGGAGATTGCTGAGCTGCAGAAGGAGAAGGAGAAGCTGGAGTTCATGTTGGTGGCTCACGGCCCAGTGTGCAAGATTAGCCCCGAGGAGCGCCGATCGCCCCCAGCCCCTGGGCTGCAGCCCATGCGCAGTGGGGGTGGCTCGGTGGGCGCTGTAGTGGTGAAACAGGAGCCCCTGGAAGAGGACAGCCCCTCGTCCTCGTCGGCGGGGCTGGACAAGGCCCAGCGCTCTGTCATCAAGCCCATCAGCATTGCTGGGGGCTTCTACGGTGAGGAGCCCCTGCACACCCCCATCGTGGTGACCTCCACACCTGCTGTCACTCCGGGCACCTCGAACCTCGTCTTCACCTATCCTAGCGTCCTGGAGCAGGAGTCACCCGCATCTCCCTCCGAATCCTGCTCCAAGGCTCACCGCAGAAGCAGTAGCAGCGGGGACCAATCATCAGACTCCTTGAACTCCCCCACTCTGCTGGCTCTGTAACCCAGTGCACCTCCCTCCCCAGCTCCGGAGGGGGTCCTCCTCGCTCCTCCTTCCCAGGGACCAGCACCTTCAAGCGCTCCAGGGCCGTGAGGGCAAGAGGGGGACCTGCCACCAGGGAGCTTCCTGGCTCTGGGGGACCCAGGTGGGACTTAGCAGTGAGTATTGGAAGACTTGGGTTGATCTCTTAGAAGCCATGGGACCTCCTCCCTCATTCATCTTGCAAGCAAATCCCATTTCTTGAAAAGCCTTGGAGAACTCGGTTTGGTAGACTTGGACATCTCTCTGGCTTCTGAAGAGCCTGAAGCTGGCCTGGACCATTCCTGTCCCTTTGTTACCATACTGTCTCTGGAGTGATGGTGTCCTTCCCTGCCCCACCACGCATGCTCAGTGCCTTTTGGTTTCACCTTCCCTCGACTTGACCCTTTCCTCCCCCAGCGTCAGTTTCACTCCCTCTTGGTTTTTATCAAATTTGCCATGACATTTCATCTGGGTGGTCTGAATATTAAAGCTCTTCATTTCTGGAGATGGGGCAGCAGGTGGCTCTTCTGCTGGGGCTGACTTGTCCAGAAGGGGACAAAGTGCAATACAGAGCCTTCCCTACCCTGACGCCTCCCAGTCATCATCTCCAGAACTCCCAGCGGGGCTCCCTGAGCTCTCAAGGAGATGCTGCCATCACTGGGAGGCTCAGAGGACCCTTCCTGCCCACCTTCGGAGACGGCTTCTGGAGGAACGGCTTGGCCAGAAGACAGGGTGTGAGTGAGACAGTGGGGCACAGGTTGGGTTTGCCAAACGCCTAATTACCAGGCCAGGAAGCATGCCAACAAAGCCACACGGGTGTCCTAGCCAGCTTCCCTTCACCTGGTGTCTTGAGTAGGGCGTCTCCTGTAATTACTGCCTTGCCATTCTGCCCCTGGACCCTTCTCTCCGGACCAGGGAGGCGTCCCTCCCTAGGAGCCACACATTATACTCCAAGTCCCTGCCGGGCTCCGCCTTTCCCCCACCCTGGCTCTCAGGGTGACGCCACCCACAGAGATTTAATGAGCGTGGGCCTGGACCTTCCCCAGATGCTGCCAGGCAGCCCCTCCCCAAGCCTCAAAGAAGCATTTGCTGAGGATGGAGAGGCAGGGGAGGGAGGCGGGAGGCCGTCACTGGAGTGGCGTCTGCAGCAGCTGCTGCCCCAGCACCCGCTCAGCCTGTCCTGGCTGCTCACCTCCCCGCAGGGCACCGGGCCTTTCCTGCCCTCTGTGGTCATCTGCCACCTGCTGGATCAAGTGCTTTCTCTTTTACACTCCCCTGTCCCCACCCCAGTGCACTCTTCTGGCCCAGGCAGCAAGCAAGCTGTGAACAGCTGGCCTGAGCTGTCGCTGTGGCTTGTGGCTCATGCGCCATTCCTGGTTGTCTGTTGAATCTTTCTGGCTGCTGGAATTGGAGATAGGATGTTTTGCTTCCCACTGCAGGAGAGCTGCCCCCTTTCACGGGGTTGGGGAAGGGTCCCCCTGGCCTCCAGCAGGAGCACAGCTCAGCAGGGTCCCTGCTGCCCACCCCTCTGAGCCTTTTCTCCCCAGGGTATGGCTCCTGCTGAGTTTCTTGTCCAGCAGGGCCTTGACAGGAATCCAGGGAGTAGCTCCTGGCCAGAACCAGCCTCTGCGGGGCTTGTGCTCTGCAAAGACTCTGCTGCTGGGGATTCAGCTCTAGAGGTCACAGTATCCTCGTTTGAAAGATAATTAAGATCCCCCGTGGAGAAAGCAGTGACACATTCACACAGCTGTTCCCTCGCATGTTATTTCATGAACATGACCTGTTTTCGTGCACTAGACACACAGAGTGGAACAGCCGTATGCTTAAAGTACATGGGCCAGTGGGACTGGAAGTGACCTGTACAAGTGATGCAGAAAGGAGGGTTTCAAAGAAAAAGGATTTTGTTTAAAATACTTTAAAAATGTTATTTCCTGCATCCCTTGGCTGTGATGCCCCTCTCCCGATTTCCCAGGGGCTCTGGGAGGGACCCTTCTAAGAAGATTGGGCAGTTGGGTTTCTGGCTTGAGATGAATCCAAGCAGCAGAATGAGCCAGGAGTAGCAGGAGATGGGCAAAGAAAACTGGGGTGCACTCAGCTCTCACAGGGGTAATCATCTCAAGTGGTATTTGTAGCCAAGTGGGAGCTATTTTCTTTTTTGTGCATATAGATATTTCTTAAATGAAGCTGCTTTCTTGTCTTTTATTTCTAAAAGCCCCCTTATACCCCACTTTGTGCAGCAAAGATCCCCGTGCAGGTCACAGCCTGATTTGTGGCCAGGCTGGACAAATTCCTGAGGCACAACTTGGCTTCAGTTCAGATTTCAAGCTGTGTTGGTGTTGGGACCAGCAGAAGGCAAACGTCCAGCCAACACACAGGACTGTAAGAGGACTCTGAGCTACGTGCCCTGTGAAGACCCCCAGGCTTTGTCATAGGAGGTCGTTCAGCTTCCCCAAAGTCAGAGGTGATTTGATTTGGGGAAGACTGAATATTCACACCTAAGTCGTGAGCATATCCTGAGTTTTACTTCCTTATGGCTTGCCCTCCAAGTTCTCTCTCTCATACACACACACACCCTTGCTCCAGAATCACCAGACACCTCCATGGCTCCAGCTATGGGAACAGCTGCATTGGGGCTGCCTTTCTGTTTGGCTTAGGAACTTCTGTGCTTCTTGTGGCTCCACTCGCGAGGCAGCTCGGAGGTGTGGACTCCGATTGGGCTGCAGGCAGCTCTGGGACGGCACAGGGCGGGCGCTCTGATCAGCTCGTGTAAAACACACCGTCTTCTTGGCCTCCTGGCCAGTCTTTCTGCGAATAGTCCTCTCCCTGGCCAGTTGAATGGGGGAAGCTGCTGGCACAGGAAGGAGAGGCGATCCCGGCTGAGGCTTAGGAAATTGCTGGAGCCGGCTCCAAGCAGATAATTCACTGGGGAGGTTTTCAGAGTCAAACATCATTCTGCCTGTGTTGGGGGCCAGGTGTGTCACACAAGCATCTCAAAGTCAAAAGCCATCTGGGGCTGCTGCTTCTGTTTCTCAGGCTCTGGGGAAAGGAATCTCCCTCTCCTCTCACTTGATTCCAAGTGTGGTTGAATTGTCTGGAGCACTGGGACTTTTTTTCTCTTTTCCTTGATGGACCAACAGTGCAAATGCAATCTCGCCATTTAACTTTCAGGTCGATTTCCTTTCCTGATCAGACATCTTTGTGCCCCCTTTAGGAAGGAAAAGAATACACCTACGATGTGCCAGGCACTGTGTTAGGCGCTTTTATATAGATCCTCGTTAGGATGAGACTAAGGGATGAGGACATCTCTTTATAAAAGGCCCCTAAGTAATGGATAAACAGAAACACTTAGAGGTGAGAAGGTCTGTCTTCAAGATCCAAGGTAAGATTGCCTTCAGTCTGATGTTTGTTCTCAAGGACTTATCCCCTACAATATTCTCCCACTCCATACTTCTCCTTCTACCCCACCATGTGCTCCCGTGCACTCCTCAGATGGTCAGAGGGGTAACCCAAGTCCTTAGAGAATTTGGGGACCAATAGAATATGTGATGTGTGAATTTTCTTTAAAAAACTTAAGGAGTCTTTGCTACCTTCTGCTTGTTGAGTTGTTTTGGCATTCATATTAAAAGCCAGCATCTCACTATTTATTGACAGGTTGGGCTGTGTGTGTGCGCATGTGTGTATACATTTCCAGGCGTGCCTGTGTCCTGTAGCTTTTTAAAAGGAAACCCAGTCATCCCACTATGAATCTGGCATCTTCTTATGCTTCTAGTGTTTTGGCCATACATCAACCAAGGGGTTTAATTTATCCAATGCTTGACGACATGTTCAGGAGGGGCTGGATCAAATTTTGAGAGGGTTATGGGAAAGGGAGGGGGAGAAGAAATTGACATTTATTTTATTATTTATTTTAAATGTTTACATCTTCTTTATGTTGTATCAAGCCTGAATAGAAACTGATAGCATTAAAATACTCCGTTCCTCTCTCTCTTCTCGCTTCCTTTTTTTTTTTTTTTTTAAATTTAGGATAACACATTTTTGTTTCTAAAGTGATTTGTGATTTGTGCTGTATAAACTGTATAAAAGGTTCTGTTTTTAAAGGTGGATTTTCATTCCTCTGGGGACAGTGGTCGCCAAGACATCTACATTGTAAGAGAACACAGTGGAAGATCCTGTCCTGATTCTCAAAAATTATTTTCTCTGTATGATTAAAAGTTTATTCCATTTATTTTAGTTTGTGTTTACTTGATTTTGAGGAAGAAAATATTTGACTTTGTGTAAAGAGTAGGGTATCAGGGTGTCTTTTCTGCCGTGGGAGATGTGTATATATATAGTATTTTGGTGTATAGTAGAAAATAAGCTTTGTGCATCTGTATTTGAGATATGTTAATGACGTGGAGTAAAGTCAGCTGTAAGACTCTGGAGGCAAACAAGTTGTATATGGTTCATATGGCTCTATGGGGAATTTAATTACCTTTCTGGGCACTTTTTTTTTTTTTTTTTTTTTAAGTAATGGTGAAATGGTCCCATTGGAGAGTCTCCTAAATAGACCTTCCAGGCAGAACCGCAAGCTCAAAATCTTTGTATAGTTTTGAAAATTGAGGAGTAGCTTTGTTTGGAAGCCTTTCTGGTGGTGGTTTTTGTTGTTGTTGTTGTTTTGTTGTTTTACTATATGTAATACAAGCCTACAGTATTTGCACTAAAGAAAGCTTGTTAGAAAAAGCTTGCTGCTATGGAAGAAAGAACATATTAAAACTTCTTTCCCTTGCGATTTTTTTGGGGGAGGGGGGTTAGCATTTCCACTTTCAGTTGAGTAGCATTTTGTAGAATAAAATGAATTAAGATTGAAGAGCCTCTGATGGTTGGTTTATTCTGTCTTCCCATCTCTCCTTTTTCTTCTCTTTTTCTTCTATTCCTCTCTACCTTTGGCCCTCATGGGTAAAGTTGGTTTTTCTGCTGGTGGGGTGGCAGGGGGGCTGGGGGAGCTGGGAACTTCCTTCTGCTTGCTTAGAACCTCTTTCTGCAAAGCTGTGAGGTGGGCTTCTGGGAGGGCATCGGGGCATGTCTACCGCCCCGTCTCATTCTTCTTTTCCCTTTTGACCCCTTCCCAATCCCTCCTGATCCTGTTTCCTTCTCAGGGCCTAATTCTCAGCCAGCTGCCAACTCTTGCCAAGCTGTGAGCCAATAAAAGTATAAGGTGCTATCCCTTCCTTGGGGTATTTTGTTTGAACAGGTTGACTCTGGAAACCCAGAAATCTTCAAAGAACCAATTAAATGTATGGCTAAGGTTGTCAGGGTGGTTGGATGAGATCACGAGCAGGAAAGGGCTCAGAAAACCGTGCAAATATGTTGGGTGATCACATCTCTAGACTTCTGTTTTTGAAAAGTCACAGGCTGTTAGGTGTTGAGCACTTAAAAGTGTCATCTCAGGCCCCCATTATCCTGTAGACCAGGAATCCCAGGGTGATTGGGGAACATCTGCTCTGGGGTACTCTTTCCTTGTAGTGCGAATGATAGGGACGAAACCCTGTCATGAGTTAAGGCCCATGGTGGCTGGCAGCTGGCTGAGACTTAGCCCTAGAAATTATACCACTTGCTCCAATATGCTTTATTATTTTATTTTATTTTGAGATAAGATTTCATTCTATCACCCAGGGTGGCATGCAGTGGCACAGCCATGGCTCACTGCAGCCTTGACCTCTCCGGCTCAGGTGATCCTCCCACCTCAGCCTTCCAAGTAACTGGGACTACAGGCATCTGCCACCATGCCTGGCTAATTTTTGTATTTTTTGTCGAGATAGGGTTTCACCATGTTGCCCAGGCGCTTCTTGAACTCCTGGACTCAAGCAGTCCTCCTGCCTCAGTCTCTCAAAGTGCTGGGATCACAGGCATCAGCCACCATGCCTGGCCTCCCACATGCTTTAGACAAGCTCAGTGTATAGGCCTCATTCTCTGGAGACACCAAGAGCACTGAGCTGGGAGTCACAGGGACCCTAAATCCTAGGCCTGCCCCCAATACTCACTGGCTATTGAGGTTTGGAGAGAGCCATTTAACCTCTCTGACCCTTAGTTTCCTCATCAGTAAAGGAGCAGGGTCATGATAATATTATATTATATATGTAAAATATATAAGTAAACAGGAGGGATAACAATATGCCTTCCTTTTCCTTTTTTATTTTATATATAATATATAATATAGAAGAGTACCTACTTAAGAAGAATAACAATATGCCTTCCTTTTCCTTTTTTTTTTTTTTTTTTTTTTGAGATGGAGTTTCACTCTGTTGCCCAGGCTGGAGTGCTGTGGCATGATCTTGGCTCACTGCAACCTCTGCCACTTGGGTTCAACTGATTCTCCTGCCTCAGCCTCCCAAGTAGCTGGGATTACAGATGTGCACCACTACACCTGGGTAACTTTTGTAATTTTAGTAGAGACGGGGTTTCCCCATGTTGGCCAGGCTGGTCTCGAACTCCTGACCTGAAGTGATCCACCCGACTCAGCCTCCCAAAGTGCTGGGTTTACAGGCGTGAGCCACCGCACATGGCCTCGTTTTCCTTTTATGTGAGCCAGGGGCATTAGGGAACAGGGCCACTCAGAGTCGTAGCATTGGGCCTTGTAATGACCTCTTCTGCCTGAGTAGACAAGGAACCAGAAGGAATCTGGAGGGTTTCAGTGCTACCTGTACTTTCTTGAGTAACTGGTATGTTTCCTTGTGGTATAAATGCCAAGGAGGCAGATGCTCGGGAGGTCCACATCCAGCTTCTCTGAGCTTTGGGGATTATGTTGTCAAGAGAGACACATGTGCTCATGCTTTGATGCTTGGCTGTCATGCCTAGGCCCTTCCATAACATTGTTCATCTTCAAAATCCACTGTTTATTTAAATTCCCACCTCTTCACCTATAGGGCAATTAGAGAGGTTGATGGCTGCCAGGGGCTTATTAGATGGAGTCAGAAGCTTCTCTGAGCAGCTGTAAATGCTTTCAAAGCATCCAGACAGTTTTTCAGTTTCTTATGGAGAAAAAAAGTAAGGGGCGACCTCTACTGGGTTCTCAACCTAAGACGGTCTGTTGGGGGAATGTTGCAGTCACCTGTCATTCTAGGCTGCCTCGGCCCAAACCAGTTCAGTGACCTGGGGTAATGGTTAACTCTTGATGACATTTCCAACAAATTTGCAGTTTTGAGGATTAAGCACAATCTGCTTCCCCAGGAAAGCTGTCTTGGTGAGGGATCCCTGGGACCATCCCCTTTTGCTGGACCTAGAGTTCCCCAAGTGAACACAACCCAGTCTCCAGGCTTTCTGTGTTCATTAGGCCTGCCACTATGTAAGGGAAAAGGAATTTCTCCTGGAGCTGATATTTTCCAACATGTTGAGCAACGAGACCATGTATGTGTGAGGGCATATGAAAAGAGGTGACGGGCTCAAGTCAGAGGGAAACTTAAGTAGTTGAAATCATAGACCTTTGTGACAGTGTTGATGGAGGCAACTTGATTAAGGTGAAGCCACTGGGCTCTGGGCTCCAGTGCCATGTTTGAAATGAAGAGTGCGATTTTCCTTTTGGCCTGTGTGTTTAAAGGGTGAATGGGATACTTGTACATGGGTAGCTCAGCCCCTGCTGGCCACAGGGCCCTGCCAGGCCCTCACACAGGTCTGATGGCCTTCAGGGCCAACTGTGTACCTGGTCTAGGATGCTGTTCTTACACCTGATGAGACAACTAAAGGACTGTTTCCTGAGACACTGTGAGCTGTTAGGACAAGTCCATCCAGTCTTCTTTGTTTTTTTTGTTTTTTCGGGTTTTTTTTTTTGAGACAGAGTTTTGCTCTTGTTGCCTAGGCTAGCGTGCCGTGGTGTGATCTTGGCTTATTGCAACCTCTGCCTCCCGGGTTCAAGCTATTCTCCTGCCTCAGCCTCCCAAGTAGCTGGGATTACAGGCGCCCACCACCACGCCCAGCTAATTTTTTGTATTTTTAGTAGAGACGGAGTTTCGTCATGTTGTCCAGGCTGGTCTCGAACTCCTGACCTCAGGTGATCCACTCGTCTCGGCCTCCCAAAATGCTGGGATTATAGGCGTGAGCCATTGCACCCAACCCATCCAGTCTTTGCAGTCAGCTTCTGCCTTTGCCAAACCTTCCTGGAGTGGAGAGGGGACTATACCCCATGACTGCCCATTGGGCAGATCCTCCTCCTCCTCGTCCATTAGGCCCCTCATGAGTAGAGGCCACAGTGAAGTGCATCCGTAGTCTATCCATAGCCTGTGAGTTGTTGTCCCTGGAAAGTTCCACTCACTTGAAGAAAAAAAATAGAACCTTCTTCAGGCTCCACCTCTGGAAGTGGGAAGTCCTTAACCAAACTAAACACCTTCACAAGTCCTTCTGTAAGCCCAAGGGGAAAACAAACCAAAACACAAACACTCCGCAGTGGCCTGGACTGCAGTGGCATTCGGCTGAATGTCTCTGAGGGCACTGTGAGGACAGGGCCCTGGTTAGACACGGGGGACCCCCCTTCTTTCTCCAAAGGCAAAGTACAGGCTGCTGTGGGGCCTTCAGATCTGCTGCTATTTCAGAGCATAACGCTGCCTTGTCCCTCAGGACCTTTGGAAACTATTCAGTATTATATAGGTGACATATCTTTGTTTTGTGGTGGAATTCATATAGAAGAAAATGAACCATTTTAGAGTGAACAATTCAGTGGCATTTATTACCTTCACGATGTTGTATAATACAACTACCACCTCTGTCTAGTTGCAAAATATTTTCATCACCCAGAAAGAAAACCCCAAACCCATTAAGCTACTACTCCCCAGTCCTCCCTCCCCAACCCCTGACAACCACCAATCTGCTTTCTGTCTCTATGGATTTATATTTAGGTAGTATTTCTGAGAATCCCAGTGACTCTATTTTCTGAACTAAAAAAGAATCATGAAACATTAGCACAGAAAATAAACTAATAGAGACTAGTGGTACTGTTTCCCCTTTATTTCCATACTTCGTAACCTTTTCATGTGCCTTTATATAAATGGTCTCATTCAGTAACCCAAGAGACAAATGTTGCTGGATGTGTTGGAAAATCTCAACTCCATTAGAAATTCTCTCTTTTTTTTTTTCTTTTTATTTTATTTATTTTTGAGATGGAGTCTCGCTCTATTGTTTGGGTAGAGTGCAGCGGCACAATCTTGGCTCACTGCAACCTCTGCCTCCCGGGTTCATGTGATTCTTCTGCCTCAGCCTCCCAAGTAGCTGGGACTACAGGCATGCACCACCAAGCCCAGCTAATTTTTGTATTTTTAGTAAAGATGGGGTTTCACCATGTTGGCCAGGCTGGTCTCGAACTCCTGATCTGTAGTGATCCACCTGCCTCGGCCTCCCAAAGTGCTGGGATTACAGGGGTTAGCTACTGCACCCGGCCAGAAATTCCTTTTTTCTTACACAGTGGTGTGTCTGTTCCACTGGCAAGTACAGTTACTACCTTGATCCAGTGCAAATGGCATGCATTTGTTTCTCAAAGATGGAATAAATCTGAAAAGACAGACTACATTCACTGATAAAAACAGACACCTTGTGTTTTAAACATAAGAGAACCGCATTTAAAAAAATTAGTGTGCAGTTGGAGACTGTCACCATTATATTCTTACAGGGATGAGGGAGAAAATATTCATTAAAAAATATTTTTGTGTTCCTACTAAGTGCATGACACCGCCAAAGGCACTCTTGGGACACAGTTCTATAAGACACTGTTGATGCCAGTGTTAGAAATGAGGTGTCTCTTTATTTCACAGCCAAATGTTTTCACTGGAAATAGCAATGAACTAAAAACTAGAAGCTGCCCTCAAGGAGGTTGCAATCTGGTTGGAGTGGAAGGAGAAGGAGCACAGACATTTTGGCCTGTGGCAGGTGGGGGGATTTCAGAGACAATTCCATGGAGGAGAGGATCCTAAATTGGAGCCTGAAAGTGGGATGGCTATGGGTAAGATGGAGTGGAGCCGGGCACGGTGGCTCACACCTGTAATCCCAGCACTTCAGGAGGCCCAAGGCAGGTGGATCACTTGAGGCCAGGAGTTCAAGACCAGCCTGGGTAACACGACAAGACCTCGTCTCTATAAAAACTTAAAAAATTAGCTGGGCATGGTTGCATACACCTGTGATCCCAGCTACTCAGGAGGCTGAGGTGGGAGGACCGCTTGAGCCCAGGAGGTGGAGGCTGCAGTGAATTGTGATAATGCCACTGCATTCCAGCCTGGACAGCAAAGTGAGACCCTGCCTCAAAAAAAAAAAAAAAAAAAAAAATGGATAAAGAAGAGAGCAAGCGTGCCTGGCCAAGGGAACAATCTAACACAAGGGGAAGAGAACATGGGTTGGCTTTGGGGGCTGTGCAGGAGGCCTGGATGTCCTGAGCATGGGCTGATTGGGGATGTTGGAAATTTAAGCTGCCAACCTAAGGCAGGCTTGAACCTTTCTATAGTCAGTCTATCAACGCCTTTTATTGAGTGCCTATTTGTGCTAGGCACTGTTCTCGGCTCCAGGAAGACAGAGGGGACAAGGAAGCCTTAGGGCCCCCACCCCCACCCCAGGCCATTGTCCTGGCTACTGGCCATTGTAGAATAAGTAATTACAGGTTCACGAGTGTCTCACAGAGATGTATAAGGCACCATGGGGGCAGGTACCAAGGGGACTTTCCCTAGTCTGGGGGATGGTTAGAAAGGGCTTTCCAGAATCAGTGGCATTTAAACAGACCCCAAAAGTAAGAAGAAATGAGAGATTTATTTCTAGGTATTGGAAGCTGCAAATGGGGCAGCTGCATGGCGGAGGGGTGACACAGCCGCAGTCCCACTCTAGAGAGGTTATTGCTGCAGGTGTGCAGGAAAGGTGGGCGGGGGGAGGAAGGAGGCCCCGCAAGAGTCCGCACTAGCAGTGATGTCAGAAGGACGTTCCTGGGGAAGCCGAGTCTGAGAGGTCTGGTTCCAGGAATAAAAACTGGGAGGCAAGAGGAGGAGCTGGGTCGGGGGCAGGAGGCCCAGGTCCTGAGTTCGGTTTTAGGCATTTAATGCCAGGAGCTGGAGGACGTGCAGATGGGTGCCACCATCACGTCATGTTTCCACCCTGCCCTGGTCCTGAGCCCTCTGTGTTTTCCCGGCCAGTGTTCTCTTGTTCCCCAGAGGGGCTCCCCTCTTCTCAGGCCCCCCAGCCCCCTCACTTTCTACAGACGATGTCACCTTCCACCTCACAGAAAATGGAGGCCATCAGAGGGCATCTCCTCCATCTCCCATCGCTGCCATCTGTCTCCCACCTTCCCTCCTTCTCCTGATTTGACAGAGAAGGGCCCCTCCTGCCCCCAAGCCCCTTCCTTTGCCCAGCTCTGGGTACCCACCGTGCTCCTTCTTCTCAGGGACCCTCTTCCACCAGCTTCCTCCTATTCTTATTTTGTGGTTGACGTCAGTCTTTTCAAGGGCCCTTTCCCATCAGCATTAAATGTGATCAAGTATCATCCATCTTAAACATGACAAAAACCGACCTTGGCCCCACTCGCATTTCAGCTTCACAGCTGAGAGTCTTGTGAAGTTATGTTTACTTACTGCATCCACTTCCTCACTGCCACTCTTCTGTCAGCCCGCTGAAGTCTGGCTTCCCCTCTCTGCCCTGAGCCTCTGTACTTCCTTGTGACAAAATCTTACACAGACACATCTCAGCCCTTATCATCTTTGATTACTGCCCAGCATTTGGCACTGCTAACCACTTTTTCTGTGAAATGCCTTTTTCTGTTTTTAACTTTCCTCTCCCTGTCCTTGACTCTCATCTCTTGCTCAGTCCTCATATCAATGCAGACACCCCCAAGTCCTGTCTGCTCCCCGTGTGAATGTTCTATCCTGCCCCACTGCCTCCATCCTAGTATAAGCCCCTCTCATCTCTCATCCAGACAACCACAGTCATCTCCAGTCCCCACTTTGCAGCCAAAACAAACTGATATGAGTGTTCACAGCCTGCTATTTCCTGCTGCTGCTGCAGGTTCTGGGTCCCTAAAACCAAACTGATTACTTCAGGCTCCTACTCCAAGCCTATTGGAGAGGTACTTCCGTTAGGATTCCATGCAGCCGCCTGTGCCTGAAAACCCAAATCAACAGAACCTTGAACATACAAGGTTTTCTTCTCTTATCTGAAAGTCTGGAGCCAGAGGTTGGGGGAAAAATTTGCTCTCTGGGAATAATTATTTTGTTCATTGTCTGTGTCTCTGGGCTCTTCCTTCTGGGAGGTTCTTCCTGGTTCACTAACCTCCATGGCCACCCTCGATATGGGCATTGGTGAGTGGGCTCCCCGGGTATTCACAGCCTACTTCTTGCTGCGGCAGGTTCTGGGGCCCCTGGATTGTTTTAGGATTTAACTGTTAAGGTTATGACAGACCATACTCACTGCTTTTTAAAAAAAATTTTATACATTTTCTTTAAAAGCTTGGTAGGTTTTCAATCTATTTGCTTCTAGTCAGTTTCTTAAGCAAAAACCACAGCTAAAGATCTAGCGTAGACATCATTTTCACACCACATGGGAACCCAGGGTGGCTTGAGAAGGTTAAGTTCAAACCCTCTCTGTGACTAACCACACCAAACCACCAAGTTTACTTTGATGTGAAGACCTCTGGATAGATATTCAAGGAAATCTCTTCCCAGGGACCTAAAAGGACCACCTGTTCCTCTCTCTTCTAAGGCATCTTCACCCTCTGGGACTTCCAATGGAAGATAGAAGATTAGGACGCATATCTGACTTCCTTCCCACCTGCTTTCTCTCTGGCCTCCTCCTTGCCATCCTTTGGACTAAAGGTCAGGGGTTTCTCTTCTATTCTTTTCTTTAGGTAAAGCCCCATGATTAATTCTGTCAGGGCTTCTTGATATCTTAAAGAGGGAGCTAAAGACAACAGAACATCTTTTTTCTTTTAAAAATAATGTCTTTTGAGACTATTGTCTGGCTGAAAAATCTTATTTTGGAGGTCAGAAGCTATTCATTATCTTCCTCTCCATTTTTTTCTTTGATAATCCTAGTCCCTTTCCCCAAGGAAGCAGATGTTTGAGCTGAGCAGGAAGAAGGTCACATGCACAGAAATGCAAAAGAGAAATGCAATTAATCCTATTTTTCAAAATAGGGTCCTGTTTACATCATCAAGGACTTCCTATTTTGCTTAGGGTAAGTCCAAAATGTGTAATAGGGTCGTTCTGGTCTGAGCCCTACTTATCGCCCCAGCCTCATCCGATCAGTCTCCCAGCCTCACACTCTTCACCGCAACTACCCTGGACTTCTCTCACTTCCTTCACCACAGGTTGCTCAGGACGTTCCCAAAAGCTTCAGTGTTGGCCAACTCCTGTTCATCTCCCAAGTTTTGATTTCAAAGTCCCTCCTGGTCTTGAGAAGGATTTTCTTGACTCATAGCATCCCTCAGAGCACCTTGCATCCTTATGATTAATTCATTAATTTTTTTATGGTTATTTTTGATTAAACACCTCTGTTTTCCAGTAGAACACCAATAGCAGGAGTGCAAGAATGACGTTCTGTCTGCTGGGAGCCTCGTTAGGTCATCATTATCCCTAGCCTGGATTAGACAGATGTGTTTCTAAAACGTACATCTGCGCAAAACCCTTCAGTGGTCCCTCTTTTTACTCAGGTCGCTCTTTTTACTCAGTCAAACTCCTTTATGTCGCTTCCAAGGCCCTGCATGATCTGGCCCCAACTTCTTCTGTCCTTACCCCCCATCTTCTTCAACCTTCATCTAGACCGAAATACCACTCAGTGTAATAAAAGGGCTGACCCTCTTGCCTACAAGTCTCCAGATATGCTCTACCCATTTTTTCTGGTAGAGACAACTCCTATTAATTCTTCAGCTCTTGGCTGATAGATTGCCTGCTTGATTCATTAACTTGTTCACTCATCCCCGTTCTAGTTGCCAGGAACTACCCTGAGTGCTGAGGAACAGTGAACAAGACAGACCCGGCCTGCCCTCCCCCGCCCCGCATCTGTCTCCTCCGTGTTGTCTTCCCTCACCAGCCTCACCTCCAGGCTGAATTAGTTGTCTCTCCTCTGGGTCCCCTGGCTCTCTGTAAAACTGCTAGTGTTGCCTTATCACAGTTTTAATGACACTTAACCTGTCTCTCCCCGCTGCTAGCCTATGGGCTATTTGTTGAATGCATCTATGACTCCTCAAAGTACTCTGCTAAGGGTAATTAAAAGGAATAGGATGTTATGAATTAGATGAAAAATAAAAATCAAACACTATTGGAATTAACTGTTTTTTTCCTTCAAAGCAACTGATGACATTGATATGAAATTGGAAATATTTAACCGTTTGCAAATTCTTTTTATGCTAATAGAGCCAACATTTCAACAGCTATTACTTCACTTTTTATTTGTGTAATGAGAAAATTTAGAATTAAAAATGTACAAAATTGAAAAAAAAAAAAAGGAATAGGAGGCTGAGTATGGTGGCTCATGCCTGTGATCCCAGCACATTGGGAGGCAGAGGCAGGAGGATCACTTGAGGCCAAGAATTCGAGACCAGCCTGGGCAACATGGCGAAACTCAGTCTCTACAAAAAACAAGTTTTAAAAATTAGTTGGCCGTAGTGGTGCATGCTGTAGTCCCAGCTACTCAGGAGGCTGAGGTGGGAGTGTCACTTGAGCCTGGGAGGTTGAGGCTGCAGTGAGCTACGGTCACGTCACTGCACTCCAGCCTGGGCAACAGAGTGAGTCCCTTTTTCAAAAAATAAAAAAGAGAAATAGGAAATAGCATAGAATGGAGGAGCTGAGCCACAGGTGCTGCTGGTGGGCGCACAGGGCAAGGTGGACAAGGGACGGGGAGGGAGACAAAGGCAGAAGAGGTCCCTTCTCCTCCTCCTTCCTCAGGGAGTAATGGAAAATAACTTGGACCCAGACACAAAAGGCCACATGTTGTATGATTCCATTTATTCCATTACCAGACTGGGTAAACCCAAAGAGACAGAACACAGATTGGTGGCTGTCCGGGGCTAGGAAGAGGGCGAAAAGCGACACTGGCTGCTTAACAGGGATGGGGTTTCTCTTTGGAGTGATGAGAGTGTTGGAACTAGATAAAAGTGGTAGCTGCACAGCGTCGTGAATGTGCTAAATGCCACTGAATTGTTCACTTTAAAATGGTCAATTTCGTTGTTTTTTATTTATTTTGTGGAGATGGGCTTTCTCCATGTTGGCCAGGCTGGTCTCGAACTCCTGGCCTCATGTCATTCACCCACCTTGGTCTCCCAAAGTGCTGGGATTACAGGCATGAGCCACCATGCCTGGCCTAAAATGGTTAATTTTTATGTTATGTGAATTTCGCATCAAAAAGAGACAAAGAAAGAGCTTGGATCTGGAGAGAGGGGAGCGCCATGGGGGCCTTTTCCTCTCCTAGTCCCTGATGACGTTCCAGTGACTCCTCAGATTCTGGGGCTGGCCGGGTCTCTTCTGACTAGAAAGAGGGCCTTGCAGAGCCACCCGGGTCCTCTCTTGGCACAGGTAAGCTTGGACAACTGGACATTGGCCCCTGCGCATGCCAGGGCACTGCAAGAGCATCGCAAGCTTCTCAGACACAGGACCTGGATGGATGACAGTCTTTCCTTCATGGAGCAGAAGAAGGATGCCTCAGGAAGCTTCTGCACCAAGAATGAGGCCTCAAAAGCAAGGGTCAGGAAATGTGGGAGTGTTTGTAAGGGCATGGGATTGGCTTGTCTAGCTGAGGGGACAGTGTGGTCAAACAGAAACTACCCAGAGTATGGAACCAGAAGTGCTGCTCTACCAACTAATAGTTGTGTAATCTTAAGCAAGTCACTTTCATCTGTGATTTAAAATAAAAGTCTCGGCCGGGTGCAGTGGCTCACACCTGTAATCCCAGCATTTTGGGAGGCCAAGGCTGCCAGATCGTTGAGCTCAGGAGTTTGAGAGCAGCCTGGGCAACATGGCAAAAACCCATCTCTACAAAAAATACAAAAAATAGCAGAGCATGGTGGTGTGTGCCTGTAGTCCCAGCTACTTGGGGGACAGAGGCAGGAGGATCACTTGGGCCCAGGAGATTGAGGCCGCAGTGAGCCATGTTTGGGCCACTGCACCCCAGTCTGGATGACAAAGCAAAATCCTGTCTCAAAAAATAAAATAAAATAAAGTTTCATTCATTGCCAGTGGGAATGCAAAACAGAACAAATACTTTGGAAGACAGTTTGGTGGTTTTTCACAAAATTAAACATATTGTTACCAGGCGACTCAGCAATTATGCTCCTTGGTATTTACCCAAAGGAACTGAAAATGTACATCCACACAGAAACCTGCACACCAATTTTATAGCAGCTTTATTCACAATTGCTAAAACTTAGACGCTACAAGGATGACCCTCAGTAGATGCTGAATAAATAAACTGGGGTATATCCAGACAATGGAATACTATTCAGTATTCAGTGCTACAAAAAAAAAAAAATATGAGCCATGAAACCACAAAAAGACATGGAAAAAACTTAACTGCATGTCTGTAAGTGAGGGAATCCTAGTGTAAACTGTGGAATCCAGGTGATAATGATAAGTCAGTGCAGGTTCATTGATGGAAAGAAATGCACCACTCTGGTTGGAGCTGTTGACAGTGGAGGACCCTATGCACGTGTGTGGGCAGGGAGTATCTGGGATCACTCTGTACTTTCTGCTTAATTTTGCTGTGAACCTAAAACCACTCTAAAAAATAAAGGCTATTTTTAAAAGTTGGTTTGAGACCAGCCTGGGCAATATGGTGGGACCCCATCTTTATAAAAAAATTTAAAAAGTTAGCCAGGTATGCTGATGTGCCACTTGTAATACTAGCTACTCGGGAGGCTGAGGCAGGAGGATCACTTGAGCCTGAGAGATCAAGGCTGCTGTGAACTGGGATTTGGCACCACTGCACCCAGCCTGGGCAACAGAGTACGACCCTGTCTCAAAAAAAAAAAAAAAAAAAAAAAAATCGGACCTGAAAAAGAGAAAATAAAAGCTGTTGGTTTTGAGTGCTTACTCTGCAGCAGTGCAAAGCATTGCACACCCACTCTGTTTTTAGTCCCCACAATTACCTCCAGGTTATACATGAGAAAAAAACAGGCTCCGACAAATGGGTGACTTGTCCAAGGCTACCCATCTGGTCATCGAGGAGCCACAGAGGACTCTGCAGTGCCTGCTGTTGGTCACCTTTCTGCCTCGGTTGACCACCAAAATGATGAAAATAGTAATATCCCCTGCTGGTTGGCTGTGAGCATTAAATGAGCCTTGGACAAAAAGGCCCTTTGTAGAGGTTTTCATAGGAGTTATTGTTTTATTAAATGGATGATTAGGAAGTTGCTGTGTGAAGAATGTATGGACTAAGCTTTTGCAAAGGAGGGCTCAGTTTAAACTCAAGCCAGCATGCTATTGCTGAGATGTGAGAAATAGATGACAATCAGTAGCCCTTCTTAGACAAGTCAAAAGACCTCTGGAGCCTGCAAGAGCAAGCAACAGTGTGGGTTGTGGAGGCCACAGGGCTCCTACTGCTCCATGTCATGCAGGGCCTGATGGTGGACTAGGGCCATCTCTGCCTATCCCCTGTGCACAAAGCTGAGAGCCCAAGCCCTCAAGCAGCGGTGAGGTGGAGTGCAAAGGAACCTAGGCAACCTCTCTCAATTTTTCATGCTGAGGATGGAGCACATAACTGGCCCAGAGGGATCCCAGCTGGGAGTTTTAGCAGGTGCTTTGGAACTGGCCATTCCAGGGTTTAAAGTCCTTATTTGTTGAGTGACCTTGAACACGTTACTTAACCTCCTTGAACTTTCATTTTCTCATCTGCAAAATGAGGATAATAATATCTATTTCATAGGGTTGTCATAAGGATTACATGAGATAATGTGCTAAAGTCACTCAAATATAGTAAGTGCTGCAGGGTGGTTAATGCTATCATTATGTAGTCGTTGTCCTTATTATAACAAGAGGAAGGGTAAACCCAGAGAGTTGAAGCAATTTGTCCAAGGCCACACAGTAGCTAGCTGCAGGCCTGGGCTTCCTCCGGGGTCACGATTTCCACCCCTTCCTAAGTCGGGGCTTTTCTGAGAATCCTTAACAGGTCAGATGAACTGATAGTCTGCACCTCACGCCCTAAGTGCTGCCTCTCTACACCTTTTGACAATGGCATTAGAACACCACAGGCTGCCACTGCTTCCAGCTCAGCCACTAATGCACCACTTGCCAGGCAAACTGTGGAGGTTTTGTTGAGCTGCTCTGCACTGATCCCCTGCCCTCTTCCTGGGAGAGGGTCCTTCCTGTGGGAGGTAGCTGTGCTCCCGAGTGGGTCAGCATACCTGTCCATCTCCATGAGCCATTGGAGGATTCTGAAGGCCCTGGCATGCTGGTCCTGCAGCCAGAATCAGTATCCAGATCCATCCCCTACAACCTGCCTCTCCAGAGTGGAACCAAACCCATCAGTATTTCTGACTTTGTGACGCCTACTTCCACCTTCTCAGCAGGGCTTCCTGGCACACAGATGTTTTCACAATGGCCCCTGAGATAATGAAAGACACCTCGGCATTGTGACACAGAGCTAAGGAGCTCTGGCCCATATGAGGCTGTCTCTGATGCCCAACCCTGGGCATTTGGTGACCAGCAGGTGTGCTCGGCTCAGCCCTGGGAGGATCTCCCTGTTTAGTGTCTCTGCTACTCTGGAACCCCACCTCCTCCTGTCCTCTCCTCTCACACCAGGGGCCGTGCTTCTGGCATTTCAGAGCCCCCAGCCTCATAACCACCACCCCAGAGCCAGCACTCCTTTCCTCCCTGGGCAGTAGGCCACACATGGGCCCTGGGAGCAGGTGTAAGAGGGTGACTGGTTGAGAGTGGCACTGGGTAGTGTGGAAACCCTGAAGGGGCCCTTGCCTGCCAGGCGCAGCTGGGAGATCCCTGAAGGGGCCACAAGGAATTGCCACTAGCACCGAAGCAGCCTCACCATGCGCCAGCTGTTCTATGCACTTAACACACAGCAGCCTATGTAGTAGACACTATCATTACCCTCACTTTAGAGATGGGAAAATCGAGGAAGGGGCTAAATAGCTGGTCCAAGGGCACACAGCTTGAGACTGACAGAACAGAGATCTGAGCCCATCATGGGAGCCAGCATGCCATTGGCACCCTGCAGATGGTACCCCCTAATCCAATCCCGCTCACCCCACCATCTCTCTCTGCCACAGACAGATCTGTTATATCTGCAGCTGCATCCTCAAGACATGTGCTGTCTCTCCAAGTCAGGACAAGCTCATGAGGTGGATGGCCACTGGTTGAAGTCCCTCAGCCTGCTTTCCCCACCAGCGGGCCCAGCACCCCCACCTAACCCACGCCTGGCCCTGGCTTGGATACCATACCCTTCAAGGATTTTATGCAGAGCACCTTGCTGCCAGGATGACCTGGGCCAGGTCTGTGGCCACTTGCCTGGGGCACCTCTTGGAGATCACTTGTCGACCCTTAGGCACCAGGTCCAGGGTCAGGGTCCCTGGGAAGCTCCCTTGGCCCCAAGTCCTATTAGGCTGCCTAAGTCTTTTCTGGAACTTAGACCTGCCTTGGGGCAGAACTGGTGGATGGGGCCATAAGAAGCCCAGAAGTGTCTGGGGATAGCGTGGGGAGGGTGTTCCTCCAGCTCTGGCCCTACCCCTCCCAGCCTGCATCTGCTGCTCTAACGGTAGACCCTGCCCCAAGCCCCTGCCTCCTTTTCTCATGCTTCTCATCCATTCCGGACCCTCTCTCCTCCCATAAATCATACAGCCAAGGTTCATTTATACCCAGTGAGGAAATGCCTACAAAACCGCTCAGCTTGGGGCCTGGCAGCCTGCGGCTCCAGGTAGGAGCTTCCCTTCCCTTTGCCTTTATCTCTCCACGTGGCTGGCCATGGTCAAGTGGCAGATTCCTACCTCCAGCCTCTACTCCACATCACCTACACTGCCAGATAAAGGGCAGACTCCTTTTGAGCCGTGGTCATCTGCAATACTTTTCTCCCTTCCCTCTACCTGGAGAACTCCTTCTTCTCCGGAAGAACTCAGCAGAAGTGTCACTTCCTCCAAAGCCTTCCAGGGTGCCCCAGGCAGTGGGCGGCTCCTGCCCCAGTGGCCACAGTGCTCTGCCCACACTGCCTAGAATACTTACGGAGAGCTTTTGGTACTGGCGATTTATTTGATGACTCTAGCCGGGGCCCCACAAAGATGAGTACATGTGTCTTCTTTTTTTCTTTGGATTACTTACCAAAAATTTTTAAAAATCGTAAAAATAATTAATGAACAAGACGCATGTTATAAAAAATGTTTTTAAATGCACAGTGTGAAGCCCCAGAAAATGCCATGGTTAATAGTTTTGTCAGTTTCATTCTGTCTGTATTTATTTTCTCTGTAGAAATTTATTTGATTTTTTTTACATAAACAAGATCGATCTATATGCATTTGTCCTACAGCTTGCTTTTCTCACTTTATAATACATTGTGTGTGTGACAGAGTAATGCTTCCCCAAATATGTACACATCCTAATCCCCCAAATCTTTGAATATGTTATCCTAAATGACAAAAGTACCCTCGCAGATGTCACTGAATTAAGGCTCTTAAGATGGGAAAGTTACCCTGATAATCAGGGAGGGTCTGATATAATCCTGTGGATCCTTAGAGAGGCAGGAGGGCCAGAGAAAAATTTGAAGATGCTATACTGTTGACTTTGAAGACGGAGGAAGCGCCCATAAGCCAAGGAATGCAGGCAGCCTCTGGAAGCTGAAAAAGGCAAGAAATGGACTCTCCCCTGGAGCCTCCAGAAGAAATGCAGCACTGCAGATACCTTTATTTTAGCCCAAGGAGACTCTTGACTTATGTAAACAGCACACATTTATGGTTCTAGGATCTCCTAGAACCATAAGGTAATAAACTTGTGTTTAAGCTGGTACAGCTGTGGTAACTTGTTATAGCAGCAATCAGAAACTAATACAGTGTGAGTATACAATGGAGGGAAAGAATGTTGATGGTGGTAGTAGTTAGCATTTATTGCGTATTGTATGCCAGATACTGTTCTAGTGCTTTATGTGGTGTATTAATCTACTAAGGCTGCCACAACAAAACACCATAGACCAGAGGCTTAAACAACAGAAATGTATCCGTGCAGAGTGCTGGAGGCTGGAAGTCCAAGATCAAGGTGCTGTCAGGGTTGGTTGATCCTGGGGCCCCACTCCTTGGCTTGCAGATGGCAGCTTTCTTGCTGCCTCTTCCCATAGTTGTCCCTCCGTTTGTGGGCACCCTAATGTCTCTTCCTCTCCTTTTATAAGGACACAGTTAGGATGTATTAGGGCCCACCCTAATACAGTTTAACATATTCACCTTGCTTAGGTCCTGTCTCTAAATACTATCACATTCTGAAGTACTGGGGGTTAAGATTTCAATACATGAATTTGGAGCAGGAGCGTCCACAATTCAGCCCACAACATGTGGATTACATCATTCAGTGTCCACAATAACCCACTAAAATAGAATAGATAAGAAAAGTGAAGCACAGAGTGTTTGAGTTAGTTGCTGAAATTTATACAGCAAGTAAGTGGTCACGCCAAGTCTGGGAATTGCCTGTTCATATCCTTTGCCCACTTTTCTATGAGGTAGTTTTCTGTTCTTTTTGGTTTGCAGGTGCATGAGTCAGCATTTATTGAAGGAAGGAATGAGTGGGAACAGTTAGTACTAGTCCTAGAAGAACATGGGAGAGGCTGGGCCGAGGCTGGAGTTCGGTCATGCTCCCCCTGCAACCCCGACTGGCAGTGAATGCCTCCAGAGGAAAACTGAAAACCAAGTGGGAGGTGGGGGCGTGCAGAGGGCTGGGGAAAGGGAAGGTGTCACTCTCTATTCACCAACCGAGCACAGCCCTGGGAGGCTTTCTGGAGGTAGGGGATGTTCTGGTCCATTTTCTCACCCTCAGGAAACTGTGGCCAACTTTAGTAGCTTGGGGTGTCCAAGCCACAAAAAGCTCTCAGTTCTGAGAAGTATGCACAGAGCGCTGTTGCCACGGGGGCAGGAGCCTCACTGCCTGGGGGATCCTAGAAAGCTTGGGGTGTCCCTATTACATTGCTGGGATGCTACTATCAAATCCCTGCACCTGAAATTCCAGGTTCCAGATTCGGGTACTCAGATGTCCCAAGAGAACTCCTCCCAGCATGAAAGATCTGTCCAGTCCAGCTGCAAAGGAGAGATGGCCAGTGACCTGCCAACTGTCTCCTGGATGCAGGTGGCCGGCCAGAACACATGGCCAAGACAGGGCTTGCCTCCACCCACCTCACAACTCATTTTGTTTACTGTGATGAAGAGGACAGCTGCCGATGGGGCCCAGGCAGGTCTCTGGCTGGCCGCCCAAATCAATGGGAATGTCCAAATTGTTTTTCAGGGAGAGCAGAGAGTGAAGGCTTCAAAGCGCTCAGCCCTCAGAGTGTGGAGCTCCAGAAGTTCCTTCCTGTGTCAGCCTTTTGGCTTGCTGTGGCCCAAGGACTAACACACACATGTACACACACACACACACACACACACACACACACACACACACACACACACCCTGCTTCTTGACTCCTTCTCCCAACTCCATTCCAGTCGTTAACAGCAGAAGGTAGAGACACTCTGACAACTCCATCCTGATTAAACATGCCCCATAGAAGGGCATCAGGAGTCTGAATAGAAGCTGAAATAGTTCCTGTTTCAGATCATGGGCTCTTGGCAAATAAGTGGCACCCCTGGCATAAAGAAGTGTGAATATCTTTCACCCCATTCTTCCCACTCAACTATCCAGTGGTTGAATTTCCTCTATAACATTCCTAGGACAGAATGGTTACCCAGGCTTTGCTTGAACTCCCCCAGTGATGGGGAGCTTACCACCTTCCAAAGTAACATACCTGGCAATTCTTGAGGCAGGAGGGTTCGTTCTTACCCTGGTCCTTCCTTATGCCATCCCATCTGTTTCCTGCTTGGTCGCCACAGGTGACCGTATTTGAAGACAGCTAACAGCTCTGTTTCTTTATGAGGAAACAGTGCGGGGTTTAGCAGGAGGATATAAATTCAGTCATTTCACACTTTAGGGAAGGTTTTCCCTGAGTTTCTGACCCACTACAGAGAGGCCATCCTTCTCTGTGGGCCCACATGTGGGCCCAGGACAACAGTGGAATGGATCTCTGGGCCCTTTTGACTGTAGACCACATAGCCTCGCTAGCTGGGAGGGACTCAGCCCACTGTCTGGGTGCTGGTGGAGCTTTTCTGGGTCCCTAGGGCCTGGAGAGAGGGACTCCATGCTCTGAAGAGAATGCTGTACTTGGAATCTGACCTCCAGACTAGCAGGCCTGTTTCTTTCTACTTCCCAGTTGGGATCTTGTAAGCAAGCTGCTGAAACTCCCTGAGCTTTAGTTTTCTCATCTATGAAATGGAGAAATATCTATTGTCTTTTTATGAGGATCGGATGACATCACTTATGGGAAAATACCTTATAAACCAAAACACAGTCTACAAATGATTAACCAGTCTAAATGGTAAGTGAAGGAGCTTGTGGAGTTTGGAGCTTGGAATTTCTTTGTCCCAAGTCTTGCTGGTGGGTGAATGTCTGGAGCAGAGTTGGTTTTAGGAGGACTTTGGATTCTTCTTCAAGCCTTGTGGATGTTTCCTGGTACCCCGGGGTTCCCCAGTGCAGGGCTCAGACCTGTTCATCCTGCGTGACCCCTGGCCCACATAAGGCCTCTCTGTGAGGGGACTCTAGGTCCAAACCCACAAGATCAAGTTTGGGGTGGAGGTCAGGCAGGTGGAGCCAGACGGGGCCTTCTGTTCTCCTCCCCTCTCAGGTGCCCCAGGGCTGCCAGCCCAGATCTGCACCTGCACAACCTCTGTTCATTGCGGCCCGCCATCACTCCCTGCCCAGCCTTTAATTTAGACAGAGGTGAATTCTAATCCCCTAATTAGAATGGACTTTAATGAGAGGAGCAATGGAGGGATCGGGAGTCGGGGAACCCAGACTAATGACAGTGGAGGAACTCTGAAGTGAGAGGATCTCTTTTAATCCAACCCCCTCATTGAACAGATGAGGCCCCAGGAGTGGGCAGAGGCCGGGCTAGCTGGTTCCCCTGGAGTCTCCTGTCTGAGCCAGGGCTCTCCCCTGCAGCCTGCTGCTTCTCGTGGTCTCTCTGTGCAGACTCCTAGCCTTCAAGCCTGCGGTCGTGGCTCTAGCCTGGCTCTCTGGATGGGCCGAGTCCCGTGACCGGGTGGGGATGGCCGCAGCCCTCGCCCTCCTGGAATCACAGGAGCAGGAAGGGCAGGAGCCTCCATAAATAGCAGCGTGTTGCCACCTGCCCAACCCCAATCCGGTTCATCCTGACTTAGCAGAAGCACTCGTGAGATGTCCTCCCAGGCAGGGATGGGCCAGGCAGCCTGTGCTTCCTCATGCCACACGGTGCCCCGAGGGTGGGAGTGCTGCAAACAAAGGGCATCCTGCCAAAGGGCCTTGGAGCGGGCAGGTAGTGCGGCAGCCCCTGAGGAGGAAGGAGAGCGAGGTCTGGATTTTCTGGGGGTGGGTGGTGTGAGCTAAGGTGGGGGGCAGGCAGCTTGTTTCAGGCAGGGCACAGGCCCACCCCGAGGTGGCAGCGTGGATCCCAGGGTGGGGGTGGGGGGAGGCGGGCAGCCGCACAGGCCGGCAGGGTCCTCTGCCCAGGTGTGGGGAAGGTGCTGGGCTATGCCTGGCAGCCTCCTCTCTCTCCATCTCCAACTGCCCTGTCCTCTCTGCCTGGGCTCCCAGCTATAAAGCAGGAACAAGCCTCATCCCTTACCTGCCTGAGGGGACATTGAGCAGGAGTGAGATAATGTCTGCTGCAGCTCAGCCTTCCACTGAACGAGGCAGTCTCTAGACGGAGTCTAATTTTACT